>NC_000001.11:51220501-51372016 GCF_000001405.40 Homo sapiens
GATTCTCTGTGAATTTTGATTCTGCCCTCTGAGTCATCCTTCCTTTTCCATAAGAAATAGCCCATTTTCGTAGCTGAGCAGTTTTCTTAGTCTGCTTTCTGCCCTACTAGGCCGGAGGGGGAGAAAGGGGGGATCTAAAGACCTCTTCATTTTGTACTATCTCAGTAGGTTTCAGGCCAAGCTAATGTAATCTTTCTAAAATTTGGGGAGTTTCCCATATGTCAAGTTACACTTCACTCCATTAGCAAAGCACCACACCCACAAATGTCTTTCAAATAGCCTTTCTCTACCTTGGGCCTCCTGTAAAGCTGCTGCGGCACCACAGCAGTAAGACTGAGAAACTCAATTGTTTAGCACAGAAGGTCTATAAGGCACAAAATTAAGTTCCTTATAATTTTTTCCTTAGAAATGATTTTGAAAGTATCTATGAGACACTGCCTTAAATCTTTCTGATCTCTTAACAAAAGGTTTTACGTTGCGTGCCTGACTTGTCTTTGCCCTGTGATATCATTTTACTGGCAACACCATGGTCTTAATTGTTACCCTAAGGCCATTTCTTCCTTTTTTTTTTTTTTTGGAAGCCAGAGCGTCTCAACCTGTCACCCAGGCTGGAGTGCAGTAGTGCAATCTCAGCTCACTGCAATCTCCAACACTAGGGTTCAAACAATTCTCATGCCTCAGCCTCCCAGGTCGCTGGGACTACAGGCTCACGCCACCACACTCGGCTAATTTTTTGTATTTTAGTAGAGACATGGTTTCACCAGGTTGCCCAGGTTGGTCTTAAACTCCTGGCCTCAAGTGATCCACCCGCCTCAGCCTCCCAAAGTGCTAGGATTACAGGTGTGAGCCACTGCGCCTGGCTCCTTTGAGATTCTTATTCGAACTAGAAATATTACCCTGGGCCCTTCTCATATCTCATCATAGCCAACTAGGAAAAGACAGATGACACTGTACTTTCTGCCTGGAATCTCCCCAGCCAGATCCATAAGTTCATTAGGTACCTTTCTATTTTCCATGTTACCTCAAGGGACAGCGTTGCCAAACTTTCCTCCAGCTTCCAATAACAAGTACTCACCAACAATCTCCTCTAGGCCTTTCCAGCATGCAGTAATAGACTCCTCAAGACCCTTCAAATCTCCACCCATTGCTCAGTCCCAAAGCCAATGCCATATATTTTGGGTTGTTATGAAACCACCATTGCAAAATTGTAACTGAGACGGTGAAAGAGATCTGACCTAACCAACTCCATCTTGCTTCTAACCTTCAAGCAAGATGGAGTTGGTTAGGTCAGATCTCCAAGTTATTCATTCCTGGGCATAGGCTGAACTAATTTTGGGAGGAACTTAGTTTATAGTTTTGTTTTGTTTTGTTTTGTTTGAGACAGAGTCTCACTCTGTCACCCAGGCTAGAGTGCAGTGGCGCAATCTCATCTCACTGCAACCTCTGCCTCCAAGTTTCAAGCAATTCTCCCTGCCTCAGCCTCCCAAGTAGCTGGGATTACAGCTGCCCGCCACCACGCCTGGCTAATTTTTGTATTTTTAGTAGAGGCGAAGTTTCACCATGTTGGCCAGGCTGGTCTCAAACTCCTGACCTCAAGTGATCCACCCACCTCAGCCTCCCAAAGTGCTGGGATTACAGGCATAAACCACTGCGCCTGGCCATAGTTTATAGTTTAAAACAAAGATGATAACAGCCCTTTGCCAAAGCAAACTTCCTTCTTGTCTGGGGACTAGACTGCCTTTGTAGGACTAACAGATTAACCGCAAGATTACAAATTATGGTTTAGGAGTCCTGCAGCTGGAAGCTACAAGATTCTGACCCTCCCTAAACTGTTCCTAAAACAGTGCTTGAGATATTTTGCACACCCTGCACTTGATGGATCAGCTGACACCACCTGGATTGATAAAATGGCTCATATGATCTTGTGGCCCCCAACCAGGAACTGACTCAGTGCAAGAAGACAGCTTCACTCCTTATGATTTCATCTCTGACCAGACCAATCAGCACTCCCGGCTCACTGGCTTCCCCCCACCCACTAAGTTGTTCTTAAAAACTGATCCCTGAATGCCTGGGGAGACTGATTTGAGTAATAATAAAACTCCAGTCTTCCGCACAGCCGACTCTGTGTGAATTATTCTTTCTCTATTGCAATTCCTCTGTCTTGATAAATTGGCTCTGTCTAGGCAGCGGGCAAGGTGAACCCATTGGGTGGTTACAGTTACAGAAGCACCCCATTTCCAGGTATCAAATTCTGTTCCAGATATCAGTTGTTGTATAATAAACTATCCCCAAACTTAGTTGCTTTATTTTAAGAAATGTATTATTTCTCTCAATTCTGTGGGCCAATATTAGGGGTGAGGCTTGGATTGCCAATTCTTCTGCCCCACTGGGAATTAACTGGGGTCAGTTGATGATATTCAGCTAGCAGTTGGGACAGTCCGGAGGTTCCAAGACTGCTCTGCTTCCATAATTGACATATTGGCAAGGACAATTGAAAGGCTGACTCAGCAGGGCCCTTCACCCTCTCATGAAGGCTAGGCTCAGGCAGGTCCTTCTAGTCTCAATGCCTATCCATGAGGTCTCTCCAGAAGAAATGTCAGATATCTTACATGACACCTAAGGACCCCAAGAAGCAGTGTTCCGGGAAATAGGACGTGGAAGCTTTTAGTCTTTTAAGGTCTGGGCTTGGAAACTGAAACAGCATCATTTCTACCATATTTTATTCATCAAAGGAGTTACAGAGTCTGCTCAGATTCAAGGGGAAAAGATAACTAGCTGGGATAGCCCACAGTCTAATAAGGTGAGTAGATATCTTGAAAGATAATGCTAGATGCTAATAGAGACGTGTACCAAATGCTGGCAGAACACAGGACTAGGAAATATCTATAGTGGGGAAAAGGGAGGATCAGGGTGGGCTTCCCAGAGAAATGACTATAGTGTTGAGTTTTAAAAGATGAAGAACACTGGGTGTGGTGGCTAATGCCTGTAATCCCAGCACTTTGGGAGGCTGAGGCAGCCAGATCACTTGGGCTCAGGAGTTTGAGACCAGCCTGGCTAACATGGCGAAACCCTGTCTCTACAAAAAATACAGAAGTTGCCCAGTGTTCTGTTACCTATTGTTCAAACACTAAGCAAATCATTCTGCTTCTCTGTACTTTTCTTTCCCTGAAAGCTCCAAGGACTGTCCCTTCCCATCTTGGAATACAGGGCCCCATTTGTCAAAAATAAGCTTGACAAACAATATTCTATCCATAATTTTGCCCTCATTTTTCTAATTTTTTTCATTGCACAAACTGTTTTGAAACAATAATATTAACGAGAAAGAGAATATTGTTGACAATCCTCTCCTATTGAACCATTTTGATTTTTCTGTATTACCTTGGTGACCATTGTCTCCAAGTTCCAAAATTCTAGTCTCTGTCAACATGTCATTTTTTCATCGTTTTAATGAGAGAACACATTTCATCGTATTTTCTGTATTTTAACTAAATATTGTATCCCAATAAAGTTTTATGTTTCATTCATGCATATAGCCAACAACTATACAGTTCCTACAATGTGCTAAACTTTTTTTTTTTTTTTGAGACAGGGTCTATAGAAGTTCATCATTAACAGAAAAAATAAAATAAAGGGACAGGGTCTCTCTCTGTTGCCCAGGCTGGAGTGCAGTGGCATGATCACGGCTCACTGTAGCCTCAATCTCTCAGGTTCAAACTCTAGGGCTCAAACAATCCACCTGTTTCAGCCTCCAGCATGGCTGGGACCACAAGCACGTGCCACCACGCTCCGCTAGTTTTTTTTATTATTATTATTTGTAGAGACAGGGTCTCCCTGTGTTGCCCAGGCTGGTCTCCAATTCCTGGACTCAAGCTATCCTTCTGGCTTGGCCTCCTAAAGTGCTGAGATTATAGGCGTGAGTCACTGTGCCCGGCCTTTTTTGTTTTTGTTTTTTGATAGGATCTCACTCTGTTGCCCAGGCTGGAGTGCAAGATCACAGCTCACTGCAGCCTTGAACTCCTGGGTTCAGGCGATTCTCCTACTTCAGTCTCCTGAGTAGCTGGGATTACAGGTGTGAGCTGCTGTGCCCAGCTTAGACTATTTTAGATGCTGAGGATTGCTAGTAGTGAGTAAGAGAAGGCCCTTGCCCTGTAAGCTTAATTCCAGTGGAAGAGACATGCAATGAACCATTCATAATAGTAAAATGTCACATGTTATCAAGAAAAACAAAGCAAGGTAAGAGAATAGAGAATAGAGACTGACATTGTGAAGTATGACCATTTCAGAAAATAACCTCATGGAGTGAATATATGATTACTGTACTTAATCACTTCTCTATGATTGAATAGATTATTATTTTTGAGATTGTCTTCAGTGAACATCTATATATATAATTATACATATTTTTCCTTGTTTTATTTTTATTTTAAAATTTTAAAATTTTATCCCATGTGGGAAGCCGAAGATGAAAAATAATTAAAATTTTCCCCCAGGGAAAGGACCACAGGCAGTTTTAGCTCCTGATTTTTACTGCAGAATACTGTAATCACCATAATTAATATTTTAGGTGTCTAAATGTTACCAAGAATTTAGATATGTTCTATGTGTAGTTTTCCAGTGTATCATGACATTTCTGTCTACTATACCTTCACCCAAGCTCTTCTCTCTCCTTAAGTCATCCGTCTACAGTCAGTCCCACCCCACCCAGCTGCTCTTCCTCCTCCTTCTCATACAAAACTTGAGTGTCATCTCCTCCAAGAAGACTTTTCAACTCCTGTAGACCAATGTTTCTCAAACCTTTTTTTTTTTGAGACGGGGTCTCGCCCAGGCTGGAGTGCAGTGGTGTGATCTTGGCTCACTACAACCTCTGCCTCCTGGGTTCAAGCGATTCTCCTGCCTCAGCCTCCCAAGTAGCTGGGATTACATGCCCATGCCACCATGCCTGGCTGATTTTTGTATTTTAGTAGAGATGGGGTTTCACCATGTTGGCCAGGCTGGTCAAGTGATCCACCCTCCTCGGCCTTCCAAAGTACTGGAATTACAGGCATGAGCCACAGCACCTGGCACTTTTTTTTTTTTTTCTGAGACAGAATCTCGCTCCGTAGCCCAGGCTGAAGTGCAGTGGCATGATCTTGGCTTACTGCAACCTCCATCTCCTGGGTTCAAGTGATTCTCATGCCTCAGCCTCCCAAGTAGCTGAGACCACAGGCAAGCCCCACCATACCCAGCTAATTTTTGTATTTTTGGTAGAGACAATATTTCACCATGTTGGCCAGGCTGGTCTCAAACTCCTGGCCTCAACTGATCCTCCTGCCTCAGCCTCCTAAAGTGCTGGGATTACAGGCATGAGCCACCATTCCCGGCCATTCTTTTTTTTTTTTTTTTTAAGACAGGATCTCATTCTGTCAGGCTGGAGTGCAGTGGCCCCATCATAGTTCACTGCAGCCTCAACCTCCTGGACTTAAGCTCAACTCCCAATGTGTTGAGATTATAGGCATGAACCACCATGCTTAGCCTCTGAAACCTTAATGTGCATACAAATCACCTGAGGATCATGGTAAAATGTATATTCTCATTTAGTCAGTCTCAGGTGGGACCTGAGAGTTTGCAGTTCTAACAAGCTCATAGGATATTCAAATTAGTGCTGATCAACAGAGCATCCTTTGAGTAAGAAGGCCCTAGAATGGCAACTCTCAAACTTTCCATTTTTGGATTAAAAAGTATTGAGTTCCTTCTTTTCCCATATGCAAAAGAAAAGAATAAGAAAATGTTTTCAGAGAGAGACAAAAAAGAAAAATATTGAGAGGCCAGGCTTGGTAGCTCACGCCTGTAATCCCAGCACTTTGGAAGGCTGAGGCAGGAGGATCACTTGAGCCTAGGAGTTCAAGACCAGCCTGGGCAATATAGTGAGACACTGTCTCTACAAAAAAAATAGCTGGGCATGGTGGCATGTGCCTGTAGTCTCAGCTACTCAGGAGGCTGAGGCAGGAGGATAGCTTGAGCTAGGAGGTCAAGGCTGCAGTGAGCTGTGATCATGCCACTATACTCCAGCCTGGGTGACAGAGCCAGCTCAAGCCCCTGCCTGTAAAACAGTTAAATAAAATCTATCAATATTTATCATATTAGAAATCAAAATGAGAAATATAAAGAATATTTATTTAATTTGTTTAAAAGTAATAAATTAAGCCCAATAAATGTTAAGATAAATAACATGTTTATGAAAAATAGCTATATTTTCCAAAACAAAAAAAGTTCTACATTTCTGCAATATCACTTTAATATCTGGTTCATTTTCTTGGAGAAATATGCCAGCAAAAAATATGTAATAATAGGCCGGGTGTGGTAGCTCACACCTGTAATCCCAGCACTTTGGGAGGCTGAGGTGGGCAGATCACTTGAGGTCAGGAGTTTGAGACCAGCCTGGCCAACATGATGAAACCCCATCTCTACTAAAAATACAAGGAATCCAAGGGAAGTTGATCTGATGTGGAAAGATATAATGTTACTGCTAGATCAGACACTAACCCCAAATGAGAGAAGTGCCACCATAACTGCAGCCTGAGAGTTTGGCGACCTCCAGTATCTCAGTCAGGTCAATGATAGGATGACAATAGAGGAAAAAGCAACTAAGTCAAAAAGCGAAAAGGGAGCTTACTAACTCAAAAATCTTAAAGTATGGGGCTATTCTGTTAGAAAAAGGTGATTTAACACTAACCACTGAAAATTCCCTTAACCCAGCAGATTTCCTAACAGGGGATTTAAATCTTAATTACCATACAAAGGTCCGACCAGACCTAAGAGTAACTCTCTTCCGGACAGGACGGACTGATGGCTCCTCCCAAGCGATTGAGGAGAAAAAAACACAATGGGTATTCAGTAATTGATAGGGAAACTCTCGTAGAAGCAGAGTTAGAAAATTTGCCTAATAATTGGTCTGCTCAAACGTGCGGAGCTGTTTGCACTCAGCCAAGCCTTAAAGTACTTATAGAATCAAAAATCTCTATCTCAATCCTGACTCAAAAGGTTACCTACAACGTCTCTGAAATGAATTTGCATAAGAACTGTTGTTTATGGGAATGCATCTTGATGGGGCAGCTGGGTTGTTATGAAATACTCAGGAACCCAGCCCAGCTCTAGGACTCACCCCTGAGCACAAAGGCAATGTTGGGCACGCTGGTAAAGGATCACTAGAATCCAGCAGCCTGGACCTTTCTTTGTGGTCAAGAAAGGCAGGAAAACAGGTGCAAGACTTCTACATCGGTAAGCGTAACTAATCCGATAAGCAGAGGTCCATGGGTTGTTATGCATCCTGGAAAGGAATAAGCATTAGGACCATAGAGGACGCTCTAGGACTAAAGCGCATCAGAAAATGACTAGGGGTGCTGGCATCCCTATGTTCTTTTTTCAGATGGGAAACATTCCCCCCAAGGCAAAAACGCCCCTAAGATGTATTCTGGAGAGTTCAGCCCAGTCAGAGTGCGTGCACCTTTTTCTCTCTCAGACTTAAAGCAAATTAAAATAGACTTAGGTAAATTCTCAGATAACCTTGAGAATTAAGTTAGGACAATCCTTTGATCTGACATGGAGAGATATAATGTCACTGCTAGATCAGACACTAACCTCAAATGGGAGAAGTGCCGCCATAACTGCAGCCTGAGAGTTTGGCGATCTCTGGTGTCTCAGTCAGGTCAATGATAGGATGACAACGGAGGAAAAAGAACAATTCCCCACAGCCCAGCAGGCAGTTCCCAGTGTAGACACTCATTGAGACACAGAATCAGAACACAGAGATTGGTGCCGCAGACATTTGCTAACTTGTGTGCTAAAAGGACAGGAAAACTAGGAAGAAGCCTATAAATTATTCAATGATGTCCACTATAACACAGGGAAAGGAAGAAAATCCTACTGCCTTTCTGGAGAGACTAAGGGAGGCGTTGAGGAAACATAGCTCTCTGTCACCTGACTCTATTGAAGGCCAACTAATCTTAAAGGATAAGTTTATCACTCAGTCAGCTGCAGATATTAGGAAAAAAAACTTCAAAAGTCTGCCTTAGGCCCGGAGCAAAACTTAGAAACCCTATTGAACTGGGCAACCTCGGTTTTTTATAATAGAGATCAGGAGGAGCAGGTGGAACGGGACAAACGGGATTAAAAAAAGGCCACCGCTTTAGTCATGGCCCTCAGGCAAGCAGACTTTGGAGGCTCTGGAAACGGGAAAAGCTGGGCAAATCGAATGCCTAATAGGGCTTGCTTCCAGTGTGGTCTACGAGGACACTTTAAAAAAGATTGTCCAAGTAGAAATAAGCCGCCCCCTCGTCCATGCCCCTTATGTCAAGGGAATCACTGGAAGGCCCACTGCCCCAGGGGACGAAGGTCCTCTGAGTCAGAAGCCACTAACCAGATGATCCAGCAGCAGGACTGAGGGTGCCCAGGGCAAGTGCCAGCCCATGCCATCACCCTCACAGAGCCCTGGGTATGCTTGACCATTGAGGGCCAGGAGGTTAACTGTCTCCTGGACACTGGCGGCCTTCTCAGTCTTACTCTCCTGTCCCAGACAACTGTCCTCCAGATCTGTCACTATCCGAGGAGTCCTAGGACAGCCAGTCACTAGATACTTCTCACAGCCACTAAGTTGTGACTGGGGAATTTTACTCTTTTCATATGCCTTTCTAATTATGCCTGAAAGCCCCACTCCTTTGATAGGGAGAGATATCCTAGCAAAAGCAGGGGCTATCATACACTAGAATTAGGAGAAGGAAAAAGGGTAAATATATATACAGACTCTAAGTATGCTTACCTAGTCCTCCATGCCCACGCAGCAATATGGACAGAAAAGGAATTCCTAACTTCCGAGGGAGCACCTATCAAATATCCGGAAGCCATTAGGAGATTATTATTGGCTGTACAGAAACCTAAAGAGGTGGCAGTCTTACACTGCTGGGGTCATCAGAAAGGAAAGGAAAGGAAAGGGAAATAGAAGGGAACCGCCAAATGGATATTGAAGCCAAAAGAGCCACAAGGCGGGACCCTCCATTAGAAATGCTTATAGAAGGACCCCTAGTGTGGGGTAACCCCCTCCAGGAAACCAAGCCCCAGTACTCAGCAGAAGAAATAGAATGGGGAACCTCACGAGGACATAGTTTTCTCCCCTCAGGATGGCTAGCCACCAAAGAAGGAAAAATACTTTTGCCTGCAGCTAACCAATGGAAATTACTTAAAATCCTTCACCAAACCTTTCACTCTGGCATTGGTAGCACCCATCAGATGGCCAAATTATTATTTACTGGACCAGGCCTTTTCAAAACTATCAAGCAGATAGTCAGGGCCTGTGAAGTGTGCCAAAGAAATAATCCCCTGCACTTCAGGCCATACATTTCAATCCCTGTATCTTTAACCTCCTTGTTAGGTTTGTCTCTTCCAGAATCGAAGCTGTAAACTACAAATGGTTCTTCAAATGGAGCCCCAGATGCAGCCCATGACTAAGATCTACTGGGGTCCCCTGGACTGGCCTGCTAGCCCATGCTCCGATGTTGATGACATCGAAGGCAACCCTCCAGAGGAAATCTCAACTGCACAACCCCTACTTCACCCCAATTCAGCAGTAAGCAGTTAGAGTGATCGTCGGCCAACCTCCGCAACAGCACTTGGGTTTTCCTGTTGAGAGGGGGAACTGAAAGACAGGACTAGCTGGATTTCCTAGGCCAACTAATAATTCCTAAGCCCAGCTGCGAAAGGTGACTGCACCTACCTTTAAACACGGGGCTAGTAACTCAGCTCACACCCAACTAATCAGGTAGTAAAGAGGGCTCACTAAAATAAAAATTAGGCTAAAGCAGGAGGTAAAGAAATAGTCAAATCATATATTGCCTGAGAGCACAGAGGGAGGGACAATGATCCGGATATAAACCCAGGCATTCAAGCAGGGAGTGGCAACCCCCTTTGAGTCCCCTCCCATTATATGGGAGCTCTGTTTTCACTCTGTTAAATCTTGCAACTACAAAAATAATAATAATAATAAATAAATTATATTTTATAATTAAGTCACACTCTTTGGTCTAAGGACACTTCCCAAGGGCTCCTTTCCAAAACCAGGTTAGGAAGAAGATCACTGAATAGCTACTTCCTTACACGTGAATATACATTTATGCCAAAGGCATTCAAGATAAGCCTTCTCCCCTTCCCTTTATCTGTGAATAGCTGTGTGACATCAGGCAAGTTACTTAATCTCTTTGAAGCCATATTTGTATTTCTGTAAAAGATGACTGTCACTATACCTTCCAGGTCTCTTTATTTGTCCAGTTCTGTCTAATAAATGGCAGTTATGATTATACACACTAACAACTGTGGCTGGGCACTTTGGGAGGCTGGGATTGCAGGTGTGAGTCACCATGCCTGGCTCTACACAAATTTTAAAAATTAGCCAGGTGTGGTGGTGCATGCCTGTGGTCCCAGCCACGTGGGAGGAAGATGCGGGAGGATAGCTTGAGCCCAGGAGTTCGATGTTGCGGTGAGCTATGATCTTTCCACTGCACTCCAGCCTGGGTGATGGAGGGAGACCCTGTCTCTAAAAATAAATAAATAAATAAATAAATAAGAAAAAAAGTGTTAAAATATTCATATATGATTAGCAGTAGGCATACATAATACAATACAATGATAGATGCCTTTTTTTTTATCATTGCCTATATTCCAACTGAATGAGATCAGAGACAGCCTCATGAAGAAAGTGGTATTTCAGGATAATTTTTTTTTCATGTCAGACCCATAATGTGCTGACGTTGCAACAAGGTTCCAGGGTGGCACATCTCACACATGCACGTGAATACCGAGTCATCATGCTTATGAATTACAAAAGAATCTGAGAATCTTCAAAGATGCTTGATTTCAACAGAAGGGAACAGCATGGCAAAAGTTAGAGGATAGAGGTGGAAAGGCATACTGAAAGTCAAGGCTATGGAAAGCACTGTGATGTGGCTGGAATGTAGGATGCCAGGTTGGAATTGGAGTCACTTGGTTAAGTGTAGACAGTCAACGAAACAATTAATCAAGTCCTGTAACATTTGCTGATTTCCAAGGTATAAATACTCTCACCATGGGCAATTTCAAGCTACCAATCTGGCATCATTAAACACAGAATTAGGGAGAGATGTTCAGCGGCTTGTCATTATAAAGTATTTCTACCACAGAGATACACTAGAAGGAAATAACCTCAATAACACAGATAATAGTGAAATACAGTAAAGTAGTTAGAAAGCCACTCGTTTTGGGTATTTATTATGTTTGTTTTTAATATACCTTTTAACTGTAAGTTTATATAATTTAATTTTTAATAATGACTATGTTTAACAACAAGGTCACACAATTCCTGAAATTCTAACAATTGACTCATATGAGCTAGTATGAACCAACTCTAGCACATCTGTTTATATCTTACATCATTTGTAATATGGGGATATCAGTAGTGTCCATTTCATAGAGTTTTGAGGGTTGAATGAATTACCAGAGAGGGCAAATAAAACACATGCTGTCTAACAGAGAGTGTTTTATAAGAGTTTGCTATGATGGCTATTATTCAACTTGGGCCAAAGACAATGTTATTTTCACATCTGATTAGCTTGTGAGTATCCAAAAGAGCCATGCTGTGTTAGGCCCTAGTCACTCTGCAGATCATTTAATTAGCATTAAATGAACAGAAGTAAAGCATTTGGGACAGTGCCTGACACATAGGAAGCACTACATAAGTGATAGATACAATTTTATTCTGGTAGTTTTATTCATTATTATCAAGACCACATGGCCGGGCATGGTGGCTCATGCCTGAAATCCCTGAACTTTGGGAGGCCAAGGCAGGTGGATCATTTGAGGTCAGGAGTTCGAGACCAGCCTGACCAACATGGTGAAACACCATCTTGATTAAAAATACAAAAAGTTAACTGGGCATGGTGGACCCCGGCTATAATTCCAGCTATTCAGGAGGCTGAGGCACGAGAATCACTTGAACCCAGGAGGTGGAGGTTGCAGTGAGCCAATTGTGCCACTGCACTGCAGCCTGTGTGATAGAGTGAGACTCCGTTTCAAAAAAAACAAAAACAAAACAAAACAAAATTCTATCGTTTTTTTAAACTATGTTAAAATTGTAGCTGATATTTTACTCATCCACAAAAAAATAATGGTCAATAACCATTCATCTTTTCTAAAATATCATTTCCTCTGAGCTCAGGGGAATATGCAACAGTTATTCTCTCACCAGACACAGAGGTCTAAAGCTGTACCTTTGTGAGGTAGTGATATATATATGCTCATGGAAGCAAAAGTTAAAAATAAAAGTAGAACAAATATAAAGGTCTGAATGTAGCCCTGCTAACTGTTCACCTACTTGTCTCATCTACTTGAGTTTGAGCTATTTGAAGGCAGGGACCATGTCCAAGCCATTAATGGGCTTCAAATGCTCCTCCCATCTTCTGGTGAACAACTAGCCTTGTTTGTTTGTTTGTTTACTGAGACGGAGTCTCACTCTGTTATCCAGGCTGGAGTGCAATGGCGTGATCTCGGCTCACTGCAACCTCCGCCTCTCAGGTTCAAGTGATTCTCCTGCCTCAGCCTCCTGAGGAGCTGGGATTACAGGTGCATGCCACCATGCCCGGCTAATTTTTGTATTTTTAGTAGAGATGGGGTTTCGCCACATTGGCCAGGCTGGTTTTGAACTCCTGACCTCGTGATCCACCCGCCTCGGCCTCCCAAAGTGCTGAGATTACAGGCGTAAGCCACTGCACCCAGCCCAAGCTAGTTTTAAACTTAACAATATAACTTATTTTCACAAGGCACTATAGAACTTTTCAAGGGCTTGTGTCAGTGTTACCCACCTGTGGAAAAAAAGAATGAAAAACAAAACTTAAAAAAATAAATCTGGCCTGGCGAGCTGGCTCACGCCTATAATCCCAGCACTTTGAGAGGCCAAGGTGGGTGGATCACCTGAGGTCAGGAGTTCGAGACCAGCCTGGCCAACATAGTGAAACCCCGTCTTTACTAAAAATACAAAAAATTAGTTGGGCGTGGTGGTGCGCGCCTGTAATCCCAGCTATTCAGGAGGCTGAGGCAGGAGAATTGCTTGAACCGGGGAAGTAGAGGTTGCGGTAAGCCAAGATCGCACCATTGCACTCTAGCCTGGGCAACACAAGCAAAACTCTGTCTCAAAAAATAAAAATTAAAAAAAATTAAAACTAACTAAATAAATCTATGTCTGGCCAGGCATACAGTGGCTCACACCTGTAATTCCAGCACTTTGGGAGGCTGAGGCGGGAGGATCGCTTGCGCCCAGGAGTTTGAGACCAGCCTGGGCAACATGGCAAGACTTCGTCTCTACCAAAAACAAAAACAAATGCAAGGCATGGTGGTGTGCATCTGTAGTTCTAGTTACTGGAGAGGCCTGAAGCAGGAGGATCACCTGAGCCCAGGAGGTTGAAGCTGCAGTGAGCCTCGATCAAGCCAGCCTGGGTGACAGAGTGAGACCCTGTCTCCAAAACAAACAAACAATGTCTACAAATTCTAGCACTGTGTAAATATTATGTCAAATAATTGTATAAATTATTATTAATAAAAATTTCTTTAGGTTTGACAATAATTTGTGGGGTAAATTTTCTCACTTTGTAAAAATTCCAGGGTACCTCTGATTTCTGGTAAATTTAGCCAATCATAAATTAAATGAGTTCTTGGAAGCTCAACAATTCCAAAACCAAAATTGTGAGTCAGTTTGTTCTTTCTTTCCTTCTTTCCTTTCTTTTTCTTTTTCTTTCTTTCTTTCTTTCTTTCTTTTCTTTCTTTCTTTCTTTTCTTTCTCTTTTCTCTTTCTCTTTCTCTCCCTTCCTTCTTTCCTTCCTTCCTGCCTCCCTTCTCTCTCTCTCTCTTTCTCCTTCCTTTTTTTTTTGAGACTGAGTCTTACTCACTCCCTCGCCCACGCTAGAGTGCAGTGGCACAATCTGGGCTCACTGCGCTGCAACTTCCACCTCCCAGGTTCAAGCGGTTTTCCTGCCTCACCCTCCCGAGTAGCTGGGACTACAGGCGTGCACCAGCACACCTGGCTAGTTTTTGTATTTTTAGTAGAGATGGGGTTTCACCATGTTGGCCAGGCTACTCTCGAATCCCTGACCTCAAGTGATCCACCCGCCTTGACCTCCCAAATTGCTGGGATTACAGACGTAAGCCACCACGCCTGGCCCAAAATTATGAGTCTTTTCAAAAATTTTATATCAAAAAGGTGATATTTAATGTGGAATTTGAGTGCATTTAAATAAGATAGTGACTTCGTAGAATAGGGACTGCAGAGTAAGAGTGTTCAGACCCATTCGAGTTTAATATAGCCCTACCTCTAAGAATCCTTTCTGTTCCTCACTCAAATGAACTAATTGCTGTCTTTCAGTTCCTCTAAAAACCTTGGGGTCCGTGGCAGGGTGTGGGCTTAGGACTCACCTGATTACTTGTCTTCCCAGGTGGTCTCTGGGCTCTATCAGGAACAAGCCAGGTATGATCATCCTTTTCCCCAGTCCTTAGCGTGGGGTCTGGTATACACACGCACACACAACTTCAGTAAATGGTGAATGAAACGAAAGGCAGTCAAGATCCACCTGTTGAATGAACGTCTATCAGGAGCACTGTCATCCTTCTTGCTTCCTTCTTTTGCATATGTTGTTTGAGCTGCTCATTCAACCAAGGAGAGAGCATACTCTACCTTGGGCAGTGTGCCAGCCTTGCACAGAGGGACAGATGATTCAGCTTGATCAGGCTGTGACAGAGAAAAGCTCAGGGTCTGAGAGCACACAGGATGCGACTAACCCAGACTGGAGGGTCAGGAGAGTCTCCCCAGGGGAAATGAAGTTGCATCCAGAAGGATTCCTGAGAATAATGATTAGCCTGATGAGAAGCAGAAAGGTTGGGAGTGGAGGGAAGTGGGTTTCTGTGAGAGAAACAATATGGACAAAGGCCCCAGGCAGAGGCAATAGTATTCCAGATAACGAAAAGCATTTTAGAGAGTCTAGTTTAGAATTTGTGAAGGAGGTGACAATGCTGCTAATGAGATTGAAAGGGAGTCAGATTTGTAAACCATTTAAGGATTGTCTTAAGGACAGCCTTGAGGAGACACTGAAGGTTTTAACAGGAGAATGACATGATCCGATTTAAATTTTAAAAAGATAACTCTGTCAACTGTGCCAACAGTGAATTGGATGTGGGCAATGATGAACTCAGGAACAGCTGAGAGTCTATTGCAGAAGCCAAGGTGAGAGATGATGGTGGCTTGGACTTTGGTGCTGGGACTGGAAAGAAATGAACAATCTGATATACAACTGGAAGAATAATCTCTCTGGCTGTGATGTGGAAGGATAAGGACGTGATTGGACAGGCAGGGATGGTTCAGTAACGAGCTAGGACTTTATTGTGAAGGGATAAAGGGGAAGCTTTTAACATTTTAATCATGGGACTGATCCATTCCGATATGGGTTTATATAAATAGACCGCTTGGCGGAGGGTGGTGAGAAGACTGTCAGGCAGTGCACAGGTAAGAACTGAGCCCTAGACGGGGCAGGAGCAATGAATGTGGGGAGGCGCGGGAGACGGGAGATTGGTTTCGGAGCCAGGTACGGAGCCAAGCAGTCAGAGAGAAGCAAAAATTGACGCAGCACCGAGAACAGCTGCTAGTGGAGAGGGGGATGGGCGCCGCCGGAGCCGCCCTCGCCTCCTGGCGCCGGGGGCGGGACCAGAGCACGCACGGCGCGATGACGCAGTGCCCGAGCCGGCCTCGTTCTGGCTGCCGCCGTCTCGCTGAGGCGGAGTAGGATGAGGCCCGCGGCCGTGGCTCCGGCGTCGGCGGGGGCAGCAGCAGCTGAGGCAGCAGCTGAGGCAGCCGCGACGGCCGCGCCCCCCCCCGCTGACCTGGATTAGGCCCAGCAGCTCCGTGGCCGCCGCCGCCCCGCGGGGGGGCGGGGTGGGGAAGTGCTTCGTCTCCCCGCCCCCCCCCCCCCATCGCTGCCTCGCAGGAGGCGAACGCCGCGACCCCAGCGGAGCCCGCGGCCCAGCCTTGATCCCCCAACCCCGGGGGCTGGCATGAGCGGCCCCTCGGCGGCACCGTGGGGCGGTGGAGTCGCCTCCGCCTGATCCCCGGCCTGTCGCCCGACCCCACCTCGCCAACCGAGGCGGACCGCGGAGTGTGCGAACGACCCCACCGCTGCTTTCTCCTCCCCCAGATCACGCACCCCAGCTCCGGAAGATGGGGAACTGCCTCAAATCCCCCACCTCGGATGACATCTCCCTGCTTCACGAGTCTCAGTCCGACCGGGCTAGCTTTGGCGAGGGGACGGAGCCGGATCAGGAGCCGCCGCCGCCATATCAGGTAGGGGAGGGTGTGTGTTGGGGGGAGCGAGTAGAGGCAGCTCTGGCGGAGATTGAGGGGGCTTCGGGGCCGTCTCTGCCCCTGGCTTCGGCAAGGCCTGGCCTGGGCGGCATTGACCCCTTAGGGCTGGATCTGAGGGCATTTGCTCTCTGATCTCAGAGTAAGGTTGATTCTTCGCCTGCCCTCGGGCACCGTGTGGGGATGATACCCTCTGCCCTTGAGTTCTGGGATCAGAGTATGTGATCACATCCCCTTGGCCAGTGTCTGGTGGTTCGCTTGTGGAGTTTGGGAGTGACATTTTCCTGTCTTTATGTCTGAATCGTATGATTTCCTCATCGCACCGCCAACTGGATTATGGGTTCTGGATAGGTGGTTGCCAAGCACCACCCCCCCGCCCCATTTATGTTTTCATGTGTGGTCGTCCTCTTACCCACCTCCCTCGTCTTTTTGTTAATTGGATCTGGCAGGTTTTCCCTCTGCTTGGGAGACGGATCTCCAAGTGGTGATTTTAACCCTAGCGACATCGAGTTACTTGTGTGTGTGTGTATATATATATATATGTGTATATATATATATATATATATGTATATAAATTTTAATCCCTCCTCTTTTTGCTCCACCCATATGACACACCTTTTAAACGTGCTGACTTAAGAAAACTTGATTAGCTTGAACTTTGGAAACCTTTAAACCTGGCTTGGGAAATTCCTTCGGTTACTCGTGTTCTCCCTTTGTATCAAAGACTCTCCTAAATACGTTGTACTGCTTTTTGTACAATAATCAGTAGTCCCAGATGTGTTGCAGAATTCGAGTGAAGACCTCTTAAACTCAAAATAGGTATGTGGATGTTATAATCCACAATAGATGTGTGAAAACCTTTCCTGTACTTTTTCCATTTTAGATGATATTGAATACACCCTTTTCCAGAGGGCTTCAATAGTAGTAGTGCTTAATTTCTTCCTGAAGAGTTTAGTTTTCTGACTGGGTAGGCTCCTTTGTTGTTTCATGTGATGACATCATTATCTAGTGTTTTCTTTTCTCATTCCTGTGTAAACCAATGTCTCATCACACCAGAAAAACCTGATCATATATATGCTCGTTTTCTGAATAAAATTCTTCTGGGGGCATTTCATATATACCAGTAAGGTCCAGTCTTGATTGTGGTATTACAGAAGCCTCCATGACTTCTCCCTCTTACGTTCTATATTCCAGGCCTACCAAATACACCAGGCTGTTCACAGCTTTGTTTTGCTCCAGTTCCTCTCTGCTTGGAGCCCTTCGCCCGGGTCAGCCAGGTGGACATCTAATCCTCTTTGAGAACTCAGCTTTCATGTCTGAAGTCCCAGCATTCCCTTCCTTCCCAGCCCGAATCCCTTGTGTCCCCACTGAAACCTCTACACTTCCATAAGCAATATCTATAACACTTTAGTGTTGTATCTTTGTTAGATGTGTGTCTCATCCTTGTAATCGCCTCCTTCAGTGCAAGCTGCGTGAAGGTAGAGAATCTGTGTTTCCGGTTTGCTGTTGTATCCCTCGCATCTGCCTCAGTAGGGACTCAGTAACTGGGAGATAAATTACGAGTAAAAGCCCTTGAGAACAGGGACTCTCCCCTCGCTCAGTTTCTGGCACATAAGCACCTAAATGCTGAATTAATTAATGAAGTTGAATTTAGTATTTTCTGTATTTACACAAATATTTTTTCCAAAGTAAGTTGTCACAGGGTAGTCTCTTAAAAATCAAAGCTGAATCTGGGTGTCTTTACAAGTACCTTTGAGTGAAGCAAGCAAGCTATGTTTATCCTTCACTGTCTTTCCCTCCTATGTTTACTATACAACAAAAGTGCTTATTTAACTTTTTTTTTTTAATGAGATGGAGTCTCGCTCTGTCACCCCGGCTGGAGTGCAGTGGCACAATCTCACTGCTTACTGCAACCTCCACCTCCCGGGTTCTAGCGATTCTCCTGCCTCAGCCTCCTGAGTAGCTGGGATTACAGGCGCGTGCCACCACACCTAGCTAATTTTTGTATTTTTAGTAAAGACGGGGTTTCACCATGTTGGTCAGGCTGGTCTTGAACTCCTGACCTCAAGCAGTCCACCCACCTCAGTCTCCCAAAGTGCTAGGATTACAGGCATGAGCCACCGCATCTGGCATGAAGTTTTTATTTTAAAATCTCTTATGCTCCCTACCCTCACCCCCTTCTATTTTTAAAAAAATAGAGACAGGGACTCCTATGTTGCCTAGGCTGGTCTTGAACTCCTGGCCTCAAGCAAATTCTCCTGCCTCCTATCCCCTTTCTTAATTGAATATCTTTGACTTGTTCTCTTTCTCCTATCCTTATGATAATTGTACTATTAAAGGTACTAGAATTTATGGAAACTGTGTTTGCCTTTTCCAGAAGAACTAGGTGATGATGAGGGATGAGGGGTTTTTGGTGTCATGAAGGAACTTTTTTTGGAAATGTTATATTTTTGACAGTGGGAGTTTTTTATGGTTGCAGTTTCCTGAAGTGAATGACGCAGACTAATATACAAATTCAGTATCAATCAGAAGAAAATTACTTTAAAACATGGGAGCATAAAAAGAAACTTTTGGAGAAAAAGTATTGTCCCCCACCCCCAAAGAAATAAGATCTGTCTTAGGAATGGTTATTTTAGATGATCTGAGAAACAGCAATCCAAGGTTATTTATTCATTTATTTGAGTTGAGAATCTCCCTCTGTCATCCAGGTTAGACTGGATTGCTCACTTGGCAGCCTCAAACTCCTGGCTTCAGGTGATCCTCCTCCCTCAGCCTCCCAAAGACTGGGATTACAGGCGTTAGCTACCTCACACAGCAGATTTATAGTATTCTCAGTTGATAAAAGTAACTTTTTCAACAAATTATATGTAATTAACAGTGAATAGCTGATTGTAAAGGAACATGTTCTCTTGAGGTGAGTAGTTAAAAGATGTCATTGTTTGCTGCTTTATATGTACAATGTACATATAATGACAAGAGCCAGTTACAGTTATTTCCTATTAACATCTGACAAATTTGTTTTTATTTATTTTTGCCTTAAAGTAAATCCCTGCACCATTATGATCCAAGTTTGTAGGAAGTGTATATTTCTTTCCATGGTTTCTTTTGTAGCCTCCTAACAGTTATCCCTGCTTTCACCCTTGTCCTCGCTAAGGCCTGTCCTCAATACAACAGCCACAGTTATTTTGGTAAAACTGAGCATGACAGTCTCCCCAACCCTCTGTGTGGATCCTTGTTTCATTCAAAGTAAAAATCAGATTCCTTATAGTGTCGCATAAACCCTACATAATCTGTACCCCTTGTTTCCACGCATGTCCCTTGACACCTACAGCTAACCCCTTTGTTGGCTTCCCTCCAGCTTCCCTGTCCTCATTGCTATTCTAGGACCTTTGTCCTCCTTATTCTGGAATACTCTTCCCCAGATTTCATGGCTGACTGACTCCCTTACCTCCTTCAAGTCTTTTCTCACTGCCCCCTTAAACCTTCTCTGACCACCCTGTTTGAAAGTGCAACCTGCCCTAATAACCTGGAAGTCCCTCTCACCCTGTTGTTTTCCCCCCCAATACCATTTATTACATTCCAACATGTGTTAGAAAGTTGCGTTGTCTATTACCTGTCTTCTCCCACTAGGTAGAAAGGAGGAAAGGGGATTTTTTTTTTTAATTGGTGTTTCCTAAGTACTTATAACAGTGCCTGGCACATGTTAGGCATTCAGTAATTTGGTTGAACGAATGAATAGATTTCTTTTAAATGAACTAATGTATTTGAGGCAGGTATAGTTGCACTGCTTACAAGAACTCTGCATATTCCTAGTGCCATTTTTGCTTCTATATTGTAGATCAGGTTTTTTTTTGTTTGTTTTTTTGTTTTGTGACTGGGCCTCCCTGTGTTACCCAGGCTGGTCTCTCTCTGTATATATATGTTTGGGTTTTTTTGTTTTCTCTTTTTTGAGACCAAGTCTCACCTTGTTGCCCAGCTAGAGTGCAGTGGTGTCATCTTGGCTCTGCCTCTTGGGTTCAAGCGATTCTCCTGCCTCAGCCTCTGGAGTAGTTGGTACTACAGGCATGCGCCACCAAGGCCAACTGATTTTTGTACTTTTGGTAGAGATGGAGTTTTGCCATGTTGACCAGGCTGGTCTCAAACTCCTGACTTCAGGTGATCTGCCCACCTTGGCCTTCCAGAGTGCTGGGATTACAGGCGTAAGCCCCTGAGCCTGCCCTTTATATTTTTTAAATTTAAAAAATAGAGACAGGGTCTCATTATGTTGCTAGTCTCAAACTCCTGGGCTCAAGGGATACTCCTGCCTCAGCCTCTTGAGTAGCTAGGGTTACAGGTGCACTTCTACTCTGCCTGGCTCAGGTTTTAAAAAAAATTTATTTCCTTTAGAGATGAGGTCTTGCTGTGTTGCCCAGGCTGGAGGGCAGTAGCTATTCACAGGTGCAATTATAGTGCATTGCAGCCTCCACTTCCTGGTCTCAAAGGATCTTGTGGCTTCAGCCTCCTGAGTAGCTGGGACTACAGGGTTACACCACCGTGTCTAGCTGTTGTAGATCAGTTTTAAGGAATCCTAAAAAGTCAAATTCCAGTAATATTAAATACAGCAATTGGTTTACACTAAGTGTTAAGTGATTTAGGGGTTTTTACCGTGTATATATATCACCGCAAGATATTTATGTAATGGGAAAGTACTTGGGGGAGAAAAAGAAAGTACTTGAATCCCTATTCTTGAAGTATTGGATGCAAAGAGATTTAGGGTGTTTGTCAAATTAGAAAGTAGAAACAAATTTGTCGCACCCTCTACCCAACTCCCTTATTCCTAAATGTTTAAAAATAATACAGAGGAAATCTGCCCAGCGAAGGCAATCTTGGAAGGACAGTGAGTGGGAGGATAAGCCAGGAAAGGCTGAAGAAGGGAGGTCCATGAGAGGGGGAGGCCAGGTAGGCAGCCCAGCCCTGAAAGGCATATGTAAAACAGCTTGAGGTACCCCTGTGTCACTGTCAAGAGCTTTGTTATGTGCTAAATTGAGGGAGGCACTTTGTTAAAAGAGTGTAATATTCATTGAACAACAAACCATGTTACATTTTCTAATCTGAATATATAAAAATAAGGATAGGTGTCTCTCAATTTTGCAGTAGTTATATAGTTTGAGATTCGCCAGTCTTCTTCCCCGACCTATACTTTTTGATTGATACATTTGAAATTTTAAAATCCTGAGAAAATAAGTTTGTATAGCATTGAATGCAAGTATAGCTCTGCTTTTAGAGTCAGATTGTCCTGTGTTCAAATTCTGGCTCTGCCGCTTACATGTAAAATATGAAAAAGGAAAGAATTTATCAGATTGTTTTGGGGAGCTTTTTTGACAAATAAGAAAATGTAACATTTTGGATATTTCAAATTGTGTCTGCATAAAGCTTTCTTCAAGATACCTTTTTTTTTTTTTTTTTTTGGCTGGGCACAGTGGCTCACACCTGTCATCCCAGCACTT
The DNA here is from genome assembly GCF_000001405.40 of Homo sapiens. Lineage (NCBI taxonomy): Eukaryota > Metazoa > Chordata > Mammalia > Primates > Hominidae > Homo > Homo sapiens. The sequence continues at coordinate 51,242,384 of NC_000001.11, forward strand.
AGGTGGCAGAGGCAGGAGGATCACTTGACCCCAGGAATTCGAGACCAGCCTGGGCAACAAAGTGAGACCCCCATCTCTATTAAAATACCAAACAAAAACAAAAAACAAACAAAACCAAAAACCCTCTTTTGTTGTTAAAAGGATTGGTTTATCCTGTAGAATGCACTAAAAATAACCCCCTTCCTTATAAAAAATCTAGAATGTACTGCTTATTTTTAAGCATGCAATGCTATAATGTTTTGTGGGGGATGGGCTTGTTTTTTTTAGAGATGGAGTCTCACTTTGCCCAGGCTAGTTTCGAACTCCTGGGCTCAAGTGATCCTCCCACCATGTCTCCCAGTGTTGGGATTACGGATGTGAGTCACTGTGCCCTGCCTGTAATGGTATATTAATGCCTCATTTTCCTGATAACTTACGAAGTTAAATTTAGATAATTAAAGGGTTGTGTTTTTTTATTAGCATTTTGTTTAACATTTGGGTGGAAAATATCTCCAAATTTATTTCACGTATCTAGGCCTTATTATACAATTATTCAGCTTTTAACAATTTACCTTTTTGAAGTTTTATCCCTCCCCTTCTTTATGCTCAAGAAGTTCAGCCTTCTTATTGAGGGGCAGATCAACTAACTCCACCTTTGTTAATAAAGCCTTCACTGACCATTTTTTTCCTGTCTCTGCTGATTTGTCATGTACAGTTTTTTTGTGTTTGTAACATTTATCTGGAAATCATATATTGCCTTATTAGCTTTTGTTGCTTTAACAGTTGTTTCTCCACATCAGTTTCCTCAAGAATGAGAATGATACATTAAACTTGTAAGATATCTTAGTGGAGTAGAATGTTACCTTCCATATTGTAGACACCCAGTGAATATTTGATGATAGACTAAATTAGAACTGTGACTTCTTACCTTGTAAGGTCACCATCATAATTGTCCTCATCAGTTCTTACAGCAACATAATTGATGTCTCCTCCTCATTCATTTTATACCATGTTGCCAGATAAATTTCATCCCGGATCAGATCACTTGCCTCATAATCCTTAATGATTGTTATTATTATTATTATTATTTTTTGAAACAGAGTCTTCACTCTGTTGCCCAGGCTGGAGTGCAGTGGTGCCACCTCAGCTCACTGCAGCCTCCGCCTCCCGGGTCCGAGCAATTCTCCTGCCTCAGCCTCCCGAGTAGCTGGGATTACAGGCATGCGCCACCACACCCAGCTAATTTTTGTATTTTTAATAGAAATGGGGTTTCACCATATTGCTCAGGCTGGTGTGCAACTCCTAACCTCAGGTAATCCACTCACCTTGGCCTCCGTAAGAGCTGGGATTACAGGCGTGAGCCACCACGCCCGGCCCTTAATGATTCTTTATTAGGACTAACCACTGAAGATATCTGACTTAGCATTCAAAGTCATGATTTGGCTCTACATATACTTTTTCAGCTCTTCATAGCCTTGTGCTTTCTTTTATACAACCTGTATACTCCAGTCATACTGAGCAGTTTGCTGTATTCCATGTATGTCTTCTGCTTTCCTGTCTTTGCCCATTCTGTATCCATTGCCCAGAATGTTCTTCCTTAATCCTTCCCAGTCTCATTTCTAATATCCAGGGCCCAGTTCAAATGCCAAGAATCCACGAATTCTGATTTCTCCTACATACACTTTTCTTAATCTGAACTCCTTTATTCATGCACCATTCTTAAGACACTTTACCCTTTTAATTTTAATTATTTGTGACAGTGTCACATCTGCTCTTTTAGAATTCAAGTCTGGTTCATTTTCACATTGCTAGAACTACAATTTTCACAAAGCACGCACTTATACTTTAGTGAATGTAATGATCAGCATTTTGCTGTAAGAGTGTGCAATTGTATGGTTGTTAGTGTCTATTAAGCATTCCCAGAATCCTGTGCTTTAGTGTTTGGCCTATCACTTCTAATTTATAAAGTACGTTGAGCTTTGGGAAAGTTAATTTCATTATATATTTTTTGAATTTGTTTTTTTTTTTGTTTGTTTGTTTGAGACGAAGTCTCGCTGTGTCACCCAGGCTGGAGTGCAGTGGCGCGATCTCAGCTCACTGCAAGCTCCGCCTCCCGGGTTCACGCCATTCTCCTGCCTCAGCCTGTCCCGAGTAGCTGGGACTACAGGTGCCCGCCACCACACCTGGCTAATTTTTTGTATTTTTAGTAGGGACGGGGTTTCACCGTGGTCTTGATCTCCTGACCTTGTGATCCTCCTGCCTCGGCCTCCCAAAGTGCTGGGATTACAAGCGTGAGCCACCGCGCCCAGCCTGAATTTGGTTTTGTGTTCCATGAAGTTCAGCTTGCCTAGGTGACTTTTATAAATAAGTAACCAGTTATTTGTTATTTGTGTGACCCCATTGTTGCAGGATTTTTCTTTGTTTCTGCCTGACCTCTCATTCTGAATGTGCTTTAATAAAGGCTGATTTTTTGGCATTAAGATTGTATGCATCACTAAGAGTAAGATAGTCTGTTCAGAGTTTAATTCTAGAGCTAATTATAGGGTAACTTGAGAAGATGGAGATGGGATGGTGAGTTACTTGGTACATAAGATCTGAGCACTTGATTTTCTTAAAATATTTTTTAGGTAATAGTAGAAACCTTTGTTGCAGAATTTTGATCTTTAAAAGTTTTAATAGAAATACTTATGTAGATTGGGATTCTTTTTCTTTCTTTGAGACATAATCTTACTCTGTTGCCTAGGCTGAATGTAGTGGCATGGTCACGGCTCACTGAAGCCTCAACCTCACGGGCCCAAGCCATCCTCCCACCTCAGCCTCCTGAGTAGCTGGGACTATAGGCGTGCACCACTTTGCCTGGCTAATTTTTATTTTTTGTAGAGACGGGTCAAGCAGTCCTCCCATCTCAGTCTCCTGAATAGCTGGGACCACAGGTGCATACCACCACACCCAGCTATTTTTTGTATTTTTAGTAGAGACGGGGTCTCACTATATTGCCCAGGCTGGTCTCAAACTCCTGAACTCAAGCAGTCCACCCACCTCGGCCTCCCAAAGTGCTGAGATTACAAGTGTGAGCCACCATGCCCACCCAACAGCCTTTTTTTTTGGAGATGGAGTCTTACTCCATCGCCCAGGCTGGAGTGCAGTGGTGCAGTCTCAGCCCACTGCAACTTCTGCCACCTGGGTTCAAGCGATTCTCATGCCTCAGCCTCCTGAGTAGCTGGGATTAGAGGCAAGCACCACCACACCTGGCTAATTTTTTGTATTTTTAGTAGAGATGGGGTTTCACCATGTTGGCCAGACTGGTCTTAACTCCTGACCTCGTGATCCACCCACCTAGGCCTACCAAAGTGCTGAGATTACAGGCGTGAGCTACTGGGCTGGACACCAACAGCCTATTTTTAATAACCCATATGAGTACAGGACAGAAATACATCCCTAACTCTGTACCTGAAGTAAGGAAGGTAATACATAAAAGACATATTTGCAAACGACTTGAGGCAAGAAAAGAAATACAACACATCTCTAATTCTGATTGTATCTGCAATCAACCTCTTATCACTTCCCTCTTCATGTGCAGAATTTACCTTGGCTGAGACACAGTCAAGAAAGAAGACAGGTGGCCAGGCACAGTGGCTCACACCTGTAATCTCAGTACTTTGGGAGGCTGAGGTGGGCGGGTCACCTGAGGTTAGGAGTTTGAGACCAGCCTGACCAACATAGAGAAACCCCGTCTCTACTAAAAATGCAAAAATAGCCGGGTGTGGTGGCACATGCCTGTAATCCCAGCTACTTGGGAGGCTGAGGCAGGAGAATCTCTTGAACCCAGGAGGTGGAGGTTGTGTTGAGGCTAGGTTGCGCTGTTGCACTCTAGCCTGGGCAACAAGAGTGAAACTCCATCTCAACAACAACAACAAAAAAGAAGACGACAGGCTGTGTGCAGTGGCTCATACCTGTACACCAGCACTTTGGAAGGCCAAGTGGGAAGGATTGCTTGAGCCCAGGAGTTCGAAACCAGCCTGGGCAAAATAGCGAGATCTCGTCTCTACAAAAAAATAAAAAATTAGTCAGGTGTGTTGGCACATGCCTGTAGTCCCAGCTATAGGCTGAGGCAGAAGGAATGCTTGAGCTCAGGAGTTGGAAGGTATAATGAGCTGTGATGGCACCATTGCACTCCAGCCTGGGCAACAGAGTGAATGGGGGCATGGGGAAGGCCAGGTGTGGTGGCTCACACCTGTAATCTCAGCGCTTTGGTAGGCTGAGGCGGGAGGATTGCTTGCATCCAGGAGTTTGAGACCAGTCTAGGCAACACAGTGAGACTCCCATTTCTACAAGAAAATATTTAGGCTGTAAGTGGAGAGTTATTGTTTAGTGGGTAGAGTTTTCTGTTTTATAAGATGAAAAGTTATGGAGATGGATAGTTTAATGGCTACATAACTTTATGTAATACCACTGAACTATACACTGAAAAATTGGAGCTGGGCTTGTGCCTGTGGTCCCAGTTAATCAGGAAGCTGAGGCAGGAGGGTTACCTGAGCCCAGGAGTTCGAGGCTGCAGTGAGTTATAATTGAGCCACTGCATTCCAGCCTAGGCAGCAGAGTGAGACCTTATCTCTTAAAAAAAAAAAAAAAAAGGAAAAAATAATAGGCTGTAAACAGTTGATTCCTTACCAGTAACTTTTAATATTGAATTAACAAATATTTATGGTATTTTTAACATGCTCAGAGTTCAGGCTTTTTTCAGCTGTGATCTAAATGAAAGTGAGAGTGAGGTGGTGAGAGAAGTCAGTGGAAATGTGAGTGAAAGATTGAGGAAGAGCTGGCTTAGATAGCCACAGTGTGTAGTTATTTTTTTTTTTAGAGACGGGGTTTCACCTTGTTGCCTAGGCTGGAGTGCAGTGGCTATTCACAGGTATGATCATAGCACACTACAGCCGCAAACTCTTGAGCTCAAGCCAACCTCCTGGTTCAGCCTCCCAAGTAGCTGGGACCACAGGCTCATGCCACCACATCCAGTCAAAGTGTCTGGGTTTTTTGGTTTTCAATTAGGTTCCTCAGGTTAAATGGAAGTATGTGGTTTTTTGTTTTTTTGTTTTTTTTTTTTGTAAAGACAGTGTCTCATTATGTTGGCCAGGCTGGTCTTGAACTCCTGGCCCCAAGCCATCCTCCTGCCTCACCCTCCTAAAGTGAAGTGCTGGAATAACAGGCATGAGCTGCTAGGCCTGGCCAAAGTTGAAAAGTAAAGTGATAAGGGAGAAGTAAATGTATTTTATCCTCTTGGAGAATTTGCTTGACCTATTGATTTTTATATTCAAATTGGCCTTTTGAACTCTTAGATGAGTTCCTTATTTTGACAATGAATGCGTGTGTCCCTATCTTTTAATTAAATTGCCAGCCTAGAGTGTACTCCCAGGGGCCAAATGAGTAATTATCTTGTTACTTAATCTAGAAAGCATACTGTAAGGTAACTAAAGGATCTGAAAGTGTGGGAATGAAGAAAGCAACCCTCCAAATATATTTGCTTCTAAAACTCTTAAAATTTTCTGAACACTCATAAAGTTGAATGGCTTTAAGAAGAGTGAGACTTTATAATTGACCCAGTTAGTTAAAGTTACATGTAATTTTGTATAACAGTTTAAACCTTATTTTTGTGGAAGAAAAAGAAGCAGTTTACCATAATTGAGTAGCGAGGCCTTAAGGGTAAGAAATACCATGCTTGATACCTAGTTTCTTCTTTTTTTTTTTTTTTTTTTTTTGAGATGGAGCTTCGCTCTTGTTGCTCAGGTTGGAGTGCAGTGTCACGAGAAAATACATTTACAGTGCTATACTGTATTTTCTTTTTCTTTTTTTTTTTTTTGGCTTTGAGATGGAGTCTTGCTCTGTCACCCTGGCTGGAGTGCAGTGGCACGATCTTGGCTCATTGCAACCTCTGCCTCCTGGGTTGAAGCGATTCTCCTGCCTCAGCCTCCCGGGTAGCTGGGATTATAGGCGGCGCCACCATGCCTGGCTAATTTTGTATTTTTAGTAGAGGCAGGGTTTCTCCATGTCAGGCTGGTGTCGAACTCCCGACCTCAGGTGATCCGCTCGCCTCGGCCTCACAAAGTGCTGGGATTACTGGCGTCAGCCACGGCGCCCGGCCTCTAGTTTCTTCTATCAGTTAGCAAGTATGTTTTAAGCTCAACGGGGAAAGGAGAAATGATGAGTCTCTTACCCCTAGGAGCCTACAGTTAAGGGATAAGACATGAAGCAATTATGAGGTCAGCATGAAATAGTACATAATCAATTATTAAATGGTTTTGTATATAGTTTTGAAGTTGTGTGATCAGTTTGTGATAGGGCAGTGAATCACAAATGTACTTTTTAGCTTCTGTATCCTTTGGATAATCTTACTTGGAACTTGAGTATAAAAAATGAATAAAAACAACAGAGCTGCCCTGATTAAATTGAGTGGTGGAGCTTGGAGTCAAAAAGATAGCCTTCTGTATTCACAGGTTCCACATCCTCTGATCCATCCAATCACAGAAAATATTTGGGAAAGAAAACAATAAAAAATAATACAAGAGCTAATACAAATTAAAAAAATATATAGTGTAACTATTACATAACATTGTATTAGGTATTATAAGTAATCTAGCGATGATTTAAAGTATATGGGAGGGTGTACAGGTTATGTGCAAATATGCCATTTTATATAAGGGACTTGGGCATCTGAGGATTTTGGTGTTCAAGGATTTTGGAGTCAGTCGGGTCGGACTAATTGTTAGATGGTGGACATGAATTTAGAGGTCATTGAGTTGTGTAATTTTGTACAGTAAAAGTATGTGTGTGTAAATTTTAATTAAAATGTATTATACAGAAACTAGTGTATCTTTAACAGAATATCTTGAGTTTCTTTTGATTGACTGATTGATTGGTCGATTGATTGAGATAGGGCTCTCGCTGTGTTACCCAGGATAGCATTGGGCTCAAGTGATCTTCCTGCCTCAGCCTCCCAAAGCTCTGGGATTACAGGTGTGAGCCACTGCACCCAGCAGGTTTCTTAATTACGTAGGCTAGTGCACTTGCAAAATATAGCCACAACTATAATATAGTCTGTTTCCAAGCCCCCAAAAGGCTCCCTCCTGCCCCCTCCAACAGTTAGTACCTTTTTTCCAAAGGTAACTGTTGGTCCTTATGACCTCCTATCACCCATATTTGTTTTGTGTGGTCATGAATTTCAAACTGAATAACATTCTAGCATTCTTTGTGAAATTTGTGTTCTTACGTAATGGCAGTAGTTCACATTCTTTTTCATTGCTATGCAGTATTCAAAATTGTGTAAATATACCACATTTTACTTATTCATTCCATTATGTGTATTTGGGTAGTATCAATTTTTGGCTGTATAAATAAAGATGCTGTGAACATTATACCTGAGCACCTATTTTGAGTATATATCCAGGGATAGAGTTACTGGATAATGGAGCCACATGTATATTTAGTTTTTCCTGCAGCATTTTACTACAGAAATTTTCAAAAATAAACAAGAGTTGACAGAATTGTTTGAATACCCATATTCATTCCTACCACCTAGATTCTGCAGTAAACGTTTTGCTGTATTTGCTTTCACACATACCTATTCGTCGTTCTTCTGTCAATCTATCCTGTTGATGTGTTTCAAAAATAAGTTGCCAAATAGTTTTCCAAGTGGTTGCACTAATTTTCTGCTTGTACTGACAATATGAGAGTTTCATTTGTGCCACGTCTTCACCAGTATCTGGTATTGTCAATCTTTATTTTTGAAACTTTTTTTAGCTTTGAAGTATAATTGATATAATTATATATACTTATGATGTACACCATGGTGTTTTAATATATGTATACATCATGAAATGATTACCACAGACAAGCTAATTTACAGATCCTTCACCTCACAGTTATGATTTGCTATTGTGAGAATATTTAAGATGTATTTTCATAGCAGTTTTCAAGTATACACAATACATTATGCTAAGCTGTAGTCACTATGTTATACAACAGATCTCTGGAATTGTAGATCTGTTTTATTTTAGACATTTTAATAGGTGTGTAGAAGTATAGAAATGCAGTTGACCTTTGAACAACATAGAGTTGAATAGCGTGGGTCCACTTACAGTGCTAATTTGTTTACACAAGTATGTTGGAATTTTTGTTTGAGATTTGTGACAATTTTTTTTTTTTACGCTTAATTCGCTTTATTTTCCTTGTCTAAAAACCCTATGTTGTAGCCACAGCTGGAGCCTGGGTCCGCTGCACGGAGACTCTGGCGTGGGCCTTGATGAGGTGGTCAGTGAATTCCTGATCGGGAGACTTGGTAAATACAGTCTCCTTCCAGAGGTCGGGGGTCAGGTAGCTGTAGGTCTTAGAAATGGCATCAAAGGTGGCCTTGGCGAAGTTGCCCAGGGTGGCAGTGCAGCCCCAGGCTGAGGTGCAGCAGTCATCGATACCAGCCATCATGAGCAGCTTCTTGGGCACAGGTGCGGAGACAATGCCAGTGCCCCTGGGTACAGGGATGAGGTGCACCAGTGCAGAGCCGCAGCGGCCTGTCACCTTGCAAGGGACGGTGTGGGGCTTGCCAATCTTGTTCCCCCAGTAGCCTCTGCGCACGGGGACAATGGAGAGCTTGGCCAGGATGATGGCCCCATGGATGGCGGTGGCCACCTCCTTGGAGCACTTAACACCCAGACCGACGTGGCCATTGTAGTCCCCGATAGCAACAAACGCCTTGAACCTGGTGCGCTGGCCAGCACGGGTCTGCGTCTGCACTGGCATAATCTTCAAAACCTCATCCTTGAGAGAGGCCCCCAGGAAAAAGTCAATGATCTCTGATTCCTTAATGGGCAGGGAGAAGAGATAGATCTCCTCCAGGGACTTGATCTTCATGTCCTTCACCAAGCAGCCCAGCTTGGTGACGGGCATCCACTCCTTATCCTCGGCCTTGCCTCCGCGAGCTCCGCGGCCTCGGCCCCGGCCCCGTCTACGGCTGCGACCCCGGCCCCGGATGCCACTGCCGAAACCTCCGCGGAAGCCACCGCAGTTCCCCATCCCAGGGCCTCCGGGCCCCCCCCCGCTGCACTGGTGTCATCCACCATTTGGTGTTTTCTCGGAGAAGAAAGGATTTGTGACAATTTGAATAAACTTAGGTGATTCTCATTTTTTGAAATATCAAAAAATTAAGGTATGTCATGATGGATGCATAAAATATGTAAATACTAGTCCATTTTATCATTTACTACCGTAAAGCATTCACATCTATTATAAAAAATTAAAATTTGGGCTGGGCATGGTGGCTAATACCTGTCATCCCACACCTTTGGGAGGCCGAGGCAGGAGGATCACTTGAACTCAGGATTTTGAGACAGCCTGGGCAGGAGAGCAAGACCTCATCTTTACAAAAAATCAAAAGAATTAGCTGGAGCCGGGCGAGGTGGCTCACGCCTGTAATCTCAGCACTTTGGGAGGCCAAGGTGGGTGGATCACTTGAGGTCAGGAGTTTGCGACGAGCCTGGCCAACATGGTGAAACCCTGTTTCTACTAAAAATATAAAAATTAGCTGGGTGTGGTAGTGCATGCCTGTAATCTCAGCTACTCAGGAGGCTGAGGCAAGAGAATTGCTTGAATCCGGGAGACAGGTCGCAGTGAGCCAAGATCATGCCACTGCACTCCAGCCAGGGTGACAGAGCAAGACTCCATCTCAAAGCAAAAAAAAAAAAAAAAAAAAAGAAACAGAAAAAGAAAATACAGTATAACACTGTAAATGTATTTTCTCTTCCTTATGATTTTCCTAATATTCTTTTCTCTGGCTTATTTCGTAAGAATGCAATATGTTATACATGTAACATACAAAATATGGGTTAATCAAGTTTGTGTTATCCATAAGGTTTCTTTGGTCAACAGTAGCTTATTAGTAGTTAAGTTTTTGGGAAGTCAAAGTTTAGGCCATGCATGGGGCATATACCCGTAATCCTAGGTATATGTCTTGGGAAGCCAAGACAGAAGCCAAGACAGCAGATCATTTGAGCTCAGGAATTCGAGACCAGCCTGGGCAACACAGCAAAACTCTGTTTCTATAAAAAATACAAAAATTAGCTGGATGTGGTGGCGGGCACCTATAGTCCCAGCTACCTGAGAGGCTGAAGCAGGAAAATTGCTTGAGCCTGGGAGGCGGAGGTTGCAGTATGCCAAGATTGCGTCATTGCACTCCAGCCTGGGTAACGGGAGTGAAACCCTGTCTCAAAAAAAAGAAAAATTATATGAAGGTTTGCGACTGCACTGGGGGTTGAGACCCCTAACCCCCATGTTCAAGGGTCAACTGTATTTCATTGTGGTTTTAATTTGCATTTTCCCAGTGAGTAGTAGAGTTAACCTTTTCAAGTGCTTTTTGGCCTTTCGGGTATTGTCTTTTGTGAAGTCTTTTGTCCAGTTTGTGTGTGTGTGTGTGTGTGTGTGTGTGTGTTTGGGGGGGACAGAGAGTCTTGCTCTGTTGCCCAGGCTGGAGTGCAGTGGCGCGATCTTGGCTCACTGCAACCTCCACCTCCCAGGTTCAAGCGATTCTCCTGCCTCAGCCTCCCAAGTAGCTGGGATTATAGGCGCCCACCACGCGCGGCTAATTTTTTTGTAGTTTTAGTAGAGATGGGGTTTCACCATGTCAGCCAGGCTTGTCTCAAAACTCCTGACCTCGTGATCCGCCCGCCTCTGCCTCCCAACGTGCTGGGTTTACAGATGCGATCCACCACGCCCGACGTTGTCCAGTTTTTAATTGGGTTGTCTGTCTGTTAAAAACTTGATTTGTAGGAGTTTAAAGTATATTTTACTAATAAAAAAGAATGGTAATTGTTCTCTGCATAATATTTAGAAAATAAGGCCGGGCACAGGGGTTCAAGCCTGTGATTTCAGTGCTTTGGGATGCCAAGGTGAGAGGATCCCTTAAGGGAAGGAGGTTGAGACCAGCCTGGGCAGAATACTGACACCCCATCTCTACAAATAATATAAAAAAGTTAGGTGTGGTGGCATGCACCTGTAGTCCCAGCTACTTGGAAGATTGAGGCAGGAGGATCACTTGAGCCCAGGAGCTCGAGGTAACAGTGAGATATGATCACACCACTACACTCCAGCCTGGGCAACCTCAAGATCCTGTCTCTTAAAAAAAAAAAAAAAAAGGAGGTGGGGGAAACGAAATAAAGAATAGAAGGAAAGTAGAGATTGTGTTAGATCCTAGAATGTGAAGATAAGTAAAATGATCTCCATGTTCTCTGTACCCGCGTTCTAGAGAGGGATGTAGGTAAATGGATATAAAATACACTGCCATAAATTTTATGAAGAAGAATGTTTAGGGTGCTATAATTTGCTCAACACTTCATTATTTTTGCTTTCTTGATATTTTAAATAATACTATGAATGTTTAATCGATAAAACACTTCTTGTTTTAGAATATTTTATTTGTATAAATTTTTTTAGGAATTGCTGGATCTTGCCAGGCACAATGACTCATGCCTGTAATCCTAGCACTTTGGGATGTGGAGGCGGGAGGATTGCTTGAGCCTAGAAATTGGAGACTAGCCTGGACAACATAGTGAGGTCCCATCTCTAAAAAAAAAAAAGGGAAGGAATTGCTAAATCAAAGGATGTGAGGATTTTAAAGCTCTACACGATCAATCGGATCATCCTAAATAATTTATCGAAACAGTGGAAAAATATGTTCCACAATAAAGCATACCTCTTTGGTGACCAAAATGTGGCATTGATGAATATTGGGGGGTTCCCCCTAAAACTTTAACCCCCTTTGTGTTGGCACATTCATGAGATAATTCTGTTGATTAGGTTATAGTTTTTTTTTTAAATCAAAGAATAAAACATGGTCTCCTTGATTAGAGTTAGATATTCCTTGCTTCCTTGAATGAATTCCTTTTTCTTTTTCTGTTTTTGAGATGGAGTCTTGCTGTGTTGCCCAGGCCTGTAGTACATTGGCACGATCTCCACTTACTGCAACCTCTGCCTCCCAGGTTCAAGCAGTTGTGCCTCAGCCTCCCGAGTAGCTGGGACTACAGGTGTATGCCACCATGCTTGGCTAATTTTTTTGTATTTTTAATTTTTTTTTGAGATGGAGTCTCGCTCTGTCACCCAGGTTGGAGTGCAGTGGCAGGATCTCGGCTCACTGCAAGCTCCATCCCCTGGGTTCAAACGATTCTCCTGTCTCAGCCGCCTCCCAAGTAGCTAGGATTACAGGCGTGTGCCACCACTCCCTGCTAATTTTTGTATTTTTAGTAGAGAGGGGATTTCACTATGTTGGCCAGGCAGGTCTCGAACTCCCAGACTCAAGTGATCTGCCCACCTCGTCCTCCCAAAATGCTGGGATTACAGGTATAAGCCACTGCACCCGGCCATTTTTTTGTATTTTTGTAAAGGCAGAGTTTCGCCACATTGGCCAGGCTGGTCTGGACTTCAGGTTGCCCTGGCCCCTTAAAGTGCTGGGATTACAGGCATGAGCACCCAGCCTAGTTCCTTTTTCAAATGAATAGCACATAAGTATATGCTGGCTCTTACTAACTTTACTCTGGGAGAAAAAAACATAGCTCCAATTTTCTTTTCATTATAGGCTCTTTCTTGAATAGAATACTTGCATAGAAAAGCAATAGCTTATACATTGGTGAGGGGAGTGTTTACATTGCCCCCAACATACTGTTTAATGCATAACATACATTATTTTATTTAATTATCACATAGTATCTGTAAAGAGGAACTATATTATTTTTAATACTATTAATATGCTATATAATATGTATATATATGTTTCTACTACTTATATATCATGCAATGTGTACATTATAGCTGACATAGAGACTCAGCAGTTTGTACTCTGGATAAGTTTGTTACATTTAATTTTTTATTTTTCTTTTTAGTGACAGGGTCTCACACTGTTGCCCATGCTTGAGTGCAGTGGCACAATCATAGCTCATTGCAGCCTCAAACTCTGGGCTCAAGCGATCCACCTGCCTCAGCCTCCTGAGTAGCTGGGACTAGAGGTGCATGCCACCACACCTGGCTAATTTTTGTCTTTTTGGCAGAGACAAGGTCTCACTCTTTTTCCCAGGCTGGCTTTGAATTCCTGGGCTTAAGCAATTCTACCTTGGCTTCCCAAAGTGTTGGGATTACAGGCGTGGGCGACTGCACCCAGCTGTGTTTCACTTTCTTGCTGGTGTTTTTGGAAGCACAAAAGTGATTAATCCTGATAAAAACCAGTTTGTCTATTTTTTTCTTTGGGGAGCTTTTGGTATGTTCAAGGAGGGGGTCAAACTTGATTCTTCTGCATGTGACTAGCCTGATGTTCCAGCACCATTTGTTGAAAATAGTTTTCTTTTCTCATTGAATTATCTTGGTATTCTTGCCAAAGATCAGTTGTCTATAAATATGAGAGTACATCTCTGGACTCTTCTGTTCCATTGGTCTATATGTCTGTCCTTAGGCTAGTACTGTACTGTAGCTTTATAAGTAAGGTTTGAAATCAGAAAGTGTGAGTCTTTTTTGTTGTTGTTGTTCTCCCTTTTCAGGATTGTTATGGCTATTCTTAGTCCCTTGTATTTCCATGTGAATTTTAGGATCAACTGTCAATTTCTGCAAATGAGCCAGCTAGAATTTTGATAGAGCTACATTTAATTTTTTTTAATGAACCCACATTGAAATATTCAACGATTGCCAAAACATTATCACCCCAAACCCACTGTTTATCTTAGAGTTCATTCTTGGTGTTGTACATGGATTTGCCATGTATAATGACATGCATCCACCATTATAGTATCATACGTGTAGTTTTACTGCTCTAAAAATTTTCCGTGTTCCATCTGTTCATCCCTCCCCCCAACACCTGACAACCACTGATGGTTCTATTGTCTCCATAGTTTTGCCATTTGCAGAATGTTGCATATTTGGAATCATACAGTATGTAGCCTTTTCAGATTGGCTTCTTTCATGTAGTAATATGTATTTAAAGTTCCTCCATGTTTTTCATGGCTTGATAGCTCATTTATTTTTTAGTGCTGAATAACATTCCATTTGCATTGATATACTGTAGTTTATCTATTTACCTATCGAAGGACACCATAGTTACTTCCACATTTCGATAGTCATGAATAAAGCTCCTGTAAACATTTGTTTCTGGGTTTTGGTTGGATGTATTTTTCAACTCCTTTGGGTAAATACCAAAGGGTGCAATTGCTGGATCAAATGGTAATAATATGTTTAGTTGTGTGAGAATTATCAAACTGTCACCCTAAGCATACCATTTTTGTTGTTGTTGTTGTTGTTATTGTTTTTTGAGATGGAGTCTCGCTGTCACCCAGGCTGGAGTACAGTATGGCGTGATCTCAGCTCACCACAACCTCCACCTCCCTGGCTCAAGCGATTCTCGTGCCTTAGCCTCCCGAGTAGCTTGGATTACAGGCACGTGCCACCATGCCCAGCTAATTTTTGCATTTTTAGTAGAGACGGGGTTTCACCATGTTGGCCAGGCTGGTTTCAAACTCCTGACCTCAGGTGATCCTCCCGCCTTGGCTTTCCAAAGTGCTGGGATTACTGGCGTGAGCCACCGTGCCTGGTCGCAAAGCATACCATTTTGCATTCCCACCAGCAGTAAATGAGAGTTTCTGTTACCACACATCCTTGCCAGGACTTAATGTCAGTGTTTTGGATTTTCACCATTCTGATAGGTGTGTGTGGTATTTTTTGTTTTAATTTGCAGTTCTCAGTGCTTCTCAGTACCTCCCACCCACCTTATCTGGGACAGGATGGCTGGAGGGGCTGGAGTTGGGTAGTTCTCTTTCCCCAGGTAGGTTAAGCTCTGGTAAAAGTTTCTCCCAGAACTTTATATTAAATTAAAAGTTTCGCATGAGGATAAGACTTATTAGGAGCAGAATGCTCTGGCATATTTAAAATGGTTTATTTTCCTCTCCGCCTCCTGGAAGCACTCACGTGAGGACCTGGTAGAGGTTTTGGAGGTAAAATTCACAAAAGTGTGGTGGCCCCAATTGGGTCCACTTGGAGTTTTTATTTTAATTTTCTTTATTTTTTATTTACATTTTTTGTTTGTTTTTTTGTTTTGGAGATAGTCTTGCTCTGCGGACCAGAATGGAATACAATGGCACAATCTCAGCTCACTGCAACCTCTGCCCCCTCCGATTCAAGCTATTCTTGTGCCTCAGCCTCTCTCGAGCAGCTGGGATTACAGATGTACACCACCATGCCCGACTAATTTTTGTATTTTTTGTAGAGATGGGGTTTCGCCACATTGCCCAGGCTGGTCTCAAGATCCTAGCCTCAAGTGATCCGCCTGCCTCAGCCTCCCAAAGTGCTGGGATTACAGGCGTGAGCTACTGTGCCCAGCCTTGACTTTTTAATAATAGCCATTCTGACTGATGAGATGGTATCTCATTGTGGTTTTTGATTTGCATTTCTCTTCTTATTTCTTTTCTTTTCTTTTCTTTTTTTTTTTTTTTTTTGAGACAAAGTCTGTTGCTGATGCTCAGGCTGGAGTACAGTGGTGCAATCTTGGCTCACTGAAACCTCCGCCTCCCAGGGTCAAGCAGTTCTCCTGCCTCAGCCTCCCGAGTAGCTGGGATTATAGGCACCCACCACCATGCCCAACTAATTTTTGCATTTGTAGTAGAGATGGAGTTTCACCATGTTGCCCAGGCTGGCCTCGAACTCCTGACCTCAGGTGATCCGCCTGCCTTGGCCTCCTAAAGTGCTGGGATTACGGGTGTGAGCCACTGCACCCAGCCAATTTGCATTTCTCTAGTGATCAGTGATAATCGGAATGGCACGCAATTTACAACATTAGTTGTTTATTTCTGGAATTTTCCATATAGTATTTTCAGACCATGGTTGACCACAGTTAACTGAAACCTTGCAATAAGTGGGGACTGCTGGAGATCCTCTTCATTTTAAAGATGCAGAAATAGGTTGGGCAGTAGAGCAGGGCAACTAGGAGAAATGCATTTAAACAATAGGGATAACTGCACAGTGAGGCAGAAAATGTTATATAATACACTAGATTTGGCTCAAAGGCAGTCACAGGAGCCTCTAGGAGTTCATTTCCAGTAGAGTCCAGGAGAGGAATGAGATACTGGAATTAAGTAGGTTATACAGTGATACTTGAAGTAATGAGACTTCTTTAAAATGAAATGGGTCTTCTAAAAATGTTTCATAAATCCTAAAGGTAGGCACAACATATGGCACATAAATTATCAGAAATACCCATATGTATAACATCTCTTTTTTCATTTGGAAGTAAACAGCCCTGCCTCAGCAAATTTCTCGAGTTAATAAAATGTTTTTAGTGTCCCCGTGTCTTCTTTTCTATTCTCAGTTGGTGATTTCCTTTCTTTTGCCAATCTCCCTGATAGGCAATCTGTGCTCTCTGTCTAACGTTTCTCTCTTGAATTTATAGTGTAGTTATTACTAAGGCACCAATTCCTATCAATTAAGGCTCATTTCAGTGTAATGTGGATGTGTTTTATTTAGTATTATGTCCACTGGGCCTTTGTATATTTAGCGTTTGCACCACTCCCCACCCCATTTTCATGTGACAACTGGAGGCCTTGTTCAAAAAACTACCAGAAAAAGGACATGTATCCCATCCTTTATGGCTTTCTTGTAACACCAGAAACTATCCAGCCTTGTTTTGTCCTGTTTACTGTAAGATCCTAAGCCAGTGGTTCTCAACCAGGATGAATTTGCTCTCCAGGAAACGTTTAGCAAAGTCTAGAGACATTTTTTGGTTGTCACAATGTGGCAGGGAAGAGGGTGCCACTGGCATCTAGTGGATGGAGAGAACTGCCAAACACCCTGTGATGTACAGGACAGCCCCTACAACAAAGAATTGTCTTACTAAAATGTCAGTATTGCCCAGGTTGAGAAGCCCTTCACTAAGCAAGCCCCTTTTCCTCTCTAACCTCAGTTAGGTCCTTAATTAAGTTTGTTTCTTCAACTGAAAAGTGGAGGTTATTGCAACTTTTTCAAATGGTTGCAAAGATAAATGAATTTAAGGCGTGGAAATATTTAGCACAGTATCTGACACACAGTGGCACTCTGCTGAAAGAATAAATTAGGGTTTTTAAAAAATGTTGTATAATGCAGCTTCTCATCCATCCTGATTTTCCTGCAAAAATTCTCATGTTAAATGTTTTGATCCATTATCACTGTAAATCTCTTACATGTTATAGAAATTCCTGTATTTAAGCTTCTAAAATTTCCTAGACTACCTCTTAAATATGTTTTGATTTTTGGTCATGAAAGCAATGATTATACCACCACTGGAACAAATCTTTTTAAGTAACAGAAACCTTTTCCTGTTCTTTTCTAAAGCACTTCAGTGAATTAAAGATTGGTGAGGAGTGTAGGTCAAAGTTTAAGTCAATCAGTAATTGAATATTTTCTGTTGTCAAAGAGTTAATAAGTTCATGATCAAATAGCGTATGTAGGAGAAGACGTTAGAAAGATTTCAGAAACACTAAACTTATCGCATTCTCTTTGTGCTTTTAATTTTATGTAGCAATTCAAGGCCATCAATAGTTGTAGTCTTAAAAGCCCCTAAAAGCAGAAATGATATTACTTTGTGGATTGTTTAGATTTTTATGATGTACCCCTGTTTGCAAGGTGGTGTTAGGTCCTATGAATTAGGAGTTTGTAAGTTTAGTTAATTGGCTGAGGCCCATTGTTGATCTGTTAATTTTTTTGTGAATTAGTTTTTAACATACGGATCCTGCACAAGATAAATTTATACCTTTAAACATTTCAGTTTTTTGGTATCGTAAATGGTGTTCAAACTTTTTATTTTGGCTTCCAGTTCATTGCTGGTATTTACAAATACAATTAATTTATGTGTGTTCTTTTAACCTGCAACCTTGCTGAATTCATTTTAGGAGGTTTTGGTTAGAGTCCTTGGGATTTTCTAAATAGGCTCATGTCTGTTTGTCTCTCTTTAATTAAAATTTTTTAGGGTGTGTTTTTGTAAAGCGTTAATATTCAGTTTTGGGTGTTTTCATTCTCAGACTGATTCTCAACCTGGCCCTCTTTCAAACTTTCACACCTTCTCCCTTTTCAACTTCACTCCCTTCCCCAGAAATCACTGAAATGACTTCTGAGCACATTGTCATTTTATCTTACTGATTCAAAATTATTATTAGATACGTTATTATACCCTGGAGGTAACAGAATAGTGCATCCAGAGTCTTTAATTATGTAGGACAATTGTGTTAGTGGGTGAAAGCTGTTAGGCTTTTGGATTCTTGCACCTACTTTTTATTGATTTTTTTTTCCTCATTGTCAGTTCTTCATCTGCTGTTAGTGTGTCTGCCCTTAAACTACCTCTTCCTACTTCTAATAATTTGGCATGTTGGAAAACCAGATACTCAAGCTCATCACAGTATTTTCTAGCAACTCCCAATAGAGAGATCCCAGAGGCAGTGGCAGTTAAGTTGCATTTTCACTTGTGAATAAACTATTCTGGGGTTTAGATACATAGGTACTTTATATTTTTTTAAGTTAAAAATTTTTTAAAGTTTGGAACAAATTTGCTTAATAAAGTCAGTTTTAGCGGGAAATTCACATGCACATGAGAATCGAAAGAAAGAACCTTTAATGTTGATGTAAGCTTATCATTCCTTTTTCACATATACCTCACCACCTCCTCTGTGTTTAATTATCTGGACTTTTTTCTCATCCCTAGATTTTGTTTCTCAAAAATGTTTCTCCCTTAAAACATGTTTTAATGAACTCTGTAAGATCTAAGTTCTTAATCTCAAAGTAATCTTTAGATTGAGGAGTACTAAAATTGAGATCCACAGACCCTTTAAGGTCAGGGATAGAACTGCTTTCAGTGTGATTGATTTCCTTAGTAATCTTATGTGTTTTATTCAAAAACGTTATCTGAAATAGCTTTCATTGGACTGCATAAGGTTTCCATGGCAAAAAAAAAAAGTGTTAAGAATCCGTGAGAGGCAATCCCAGAGTGAGCTCCTGTCATTGCTGCCAGAAACCACAAAGCCTTTTGAGAGTTCTGAACTCTGAGTCACAGAGTTCTGATAGGTATGTGGTATTGTAATTCAGTTGAATTTTGCTGTTGGAATATTTAGGTAAATTGTCAGACGTAATTAAGATTTGCAGCATGAAATGGGCCCAAATATATATGGAGTCTTGCTCTGTTGCCCAGGATGGAGTGCAGTGGCACGATCTCAGCTCACTGCAACCTCCACCTCCCAGGTTCAAGTGATTCTCCTGCCTCAGCCTCCCACCACGCCCTGTCTGTGATAAGATTTTTTTTTTTTTTTCTTGAGACGGAGTCTTGCTCTGTTGCCCAGGCTGGAGTGCAGTGGCACGATCTCAGCTTACTGCAAGCTCGTCCTCCCGGGTTCACACCATTCTCCTGCCTCAGCCTCCGGAGTAGCTGGGACTACAGGCACCTGCCACCACGCTCAGCCTGTGATAAGATTTTTAAATAAAAATTTCACGGCTCGTTGCTATGGCTCATGCCTGTAATCCCAGCAGTCTCGGCTCACTGCAACCTCCGTCTCTCCGGTTCAAGCGATTCTCCTGCCTCAGACTCCCGAGCAGCTGGGATTACAGGCACATACCACCACCCCCAGCTAATTTTTTCTGTTTTAGTAGAGATGGAGTTTCACTATGTTGGCCAGGCTGGTCTCGAACTCCTGGTCTCAGGTGATCCACCCGCCTTGGCCTCCCTAGTAGCCTGAGGCTACAGGCATGTACCACCACTCCTGGCTAATTTTTGTAGGGATGGGGTTTCGCCATGTTGCCCAGGCTGGGATTGCGGGTGTGAGCCACTGCACTTGGCCCCAAAACAATTTTTAACGGATGATGCTGGGACACCTACATATAACCACATAGTTAAGTGAAGTTGGGCCCCTTTCTTACTATATGCAAAAATTAACTCAGAATGGTTCATACACCTAAATGTAAGAGCTAAAACTTTATAAACCTCTTAGAAGATATAGGAGCAAATGCTCATGACCTTGGGTTTGACAAACTTCTTAGGATACTGAAAGTAAAAGTAACCAAAGTTGAATTTCATTAAAATTTAAAATTTGTTCTTCAAATAACGTAAAGAAAGTGAAAAGATAACCCATAGGATGCAAGAAAATATTTGGGCTTTTTTTTGTTTGTTTGTTTGTTTGAGACAGAGTCTCCCTCTGTCATCTAGACTGGAGTGCAGCAGCACAATCTTGGCTTATTGCAATGCCACCTCCCAGGTTCAAGCAGTTCTTGTGCGTCAGCCTCCCAAGTAGTTGGGATTACAGGTGTGCACTACCACCGCCTGCTAATCTTTTTTTTTTTTTTTTTTTTTTTTGTATTTTTAGTAGAGACAAGGTTTGACCATGTTGGCCAGGCTGGTCTTGAACTCCTGACCTCAGGTGATCTGCCTGCCTCAGCCTCTCGAAGAAAATACTTGTAAATCATTGGTCTGCTAAGGGACTTGTGTCCAGGAGATAACAAAAAGATAATTTGCTATCAGAGAGGGCAAATCAAAATCACAATGAGATATCACATCTTATCCACTTGAATGGTTATAATAAAAAGATTAAGTTTAAGCAATGCTGTAGAGAAACTGGAACATTCTATTTCCCTTTTTAAAATGCACACTTCATTGATTTCCAGTGTGTTCAGAGTTACACAACCATCACTTACCAATACAGCTCTCGATGGGATTGTAAGATGGTGCAGGTGCTTTGGAAAAGTTTGGCAGTTCTACAAAAGGTTTTGCAGAGTTCCATTCATTGGTTTATATACCCAATAAAATGAAAACATGTACAAAAACTTATACATGTATTTTCATAACACTGTTATTCACAGTAGCTAACAAGTAGAAACAACCCATGTCCATCAGTGACTAAACAAAATGGTGGTGGACTATTCAGTGATAAAAAGGAATGCAATTCTGATAAATGCTGCATCATGGGTGAACTTTGAAAACATGCTAAGTGAAAGTCGAGCCACAAAAGACCACATATTAGTATGATTCCATACACAGGCATACCTTGTTTTATTGCACTTCACAGGGTTGTGTGTGTGTGTGTGTTTACACAACTTGAAGGTTTGTGGCAGCTCTGCATGAAACAATTCTTTTGGCACCATTTTCCCAGCAGCTCATTTCATTTCTCTGCTACATTTGGTAATTCTCGTGCTTTCAGACTCTTTCATTATATCTTTTACAGTGATCTGTGATCAGTTTTATTAGGGTGGTCTGGAACGAAACCCACACATCTGAATAATGCTTATCTATGAAATGCCCAGAATAGGCAAATCTATAGAGACAAAAAGCAAATTAGTTAGTAGTAGCCTAGGGCCGGGGAGTTTGGGGGAGTGACTGTTAATGAGTACACTTTCTTTTGGGGGTAATGAAAATGTTCTAAAATTGATAAGTGATGGTTGCATAGCTCTGAACACACTGGAAACCATTGAAGTGTGTATTTTAAATAGGGAAATAGAATGTGAATTATATCTCTAAGGTGTTACAGTTAATGGAAGCCTTTCACCTTATCGTGATACTGTATTTCCTCAGTGCTGAGATGTGCTTTTTAAGGCTAGGCTTGGCTGCTCACTCCTGGGATCCCAGCACTTTGGAAGGCCAAGGCAGGAGGATTGCTTGAGCCCAGGAATTCTAGACCAGCCTGGGCAACATAGTGAAAACCTGTCTCTACAAAATGTATATTTTTAATTAGCGGGGCATAGTAGCATGGGCCTGTAGTCCCAGCTACTCAGGAGACTGAAGTGGGAGGATCACTTGAGCCCGGGGGGTCGTCAAGGCTGCAGTGAGCCAAGATTGTGCCACTGCACTCTAGCCTAGGTAACAGAATGAGACCCTATCTCAAAAAAAAAAAAAAAAAAAAAAAAAAAAATATATATATATATATATATATATATATATACACACACACACACACACACACATTTATCAGGAAGATAGATGTGATGCTAGCTTTTACATCTCTCTGTGTAATTGTTCAGGAACTGCATCAGTGCTAATCTGGGGGTTTTTGTTTTGGTCAAGATTTCATGGAACATCAGAAGTAGAACATACATTGAGACCAACTATTCTAAATCCTCCATTTTATGGTCTTAAATGTCAGTCTGGCAAAATTCAGAGAAAACATTTCCCAGTAGGAGACTGCAGCTGGGAAGAAGGTGGTGCCAGCAGCAGCTTGTAAGGATATAAAGAGAAGGATCAGAAGAGCTGGCTCTTATTTCCTACTGGAGGAAAAGATACCGCTTTTGGTGACAAGCTGCATGCTTTAGCAGTGACTTTATTTTTCCTTCACCACAAACCAGACTTGTGCTATTTCCAGCCTCAGCACATTATTTAGGCACTTCCCCACTGCATTGTTTTCGTTTCTGAAATTGTATCACATTCCCTAAATTGAATCCAACTTTTAATGTAGTGCCCTTCAGACAGACACGTTTTACATTCACCTGTTTTGTGTCTTTCTTGGCTTAAACCACCTAAGATTAGGGCCCGATACATTCTTGACAACATCCATCATTTTATAGGTGCTTCATTTATATATTAACAAACAACCGGAATGCTTCAGAGATTTTTCGCATCAGATCAGACCTTGCTGTTTTTGATGTTTGACCCTATCTTCTGGCCGGGTGCAGTGGCTCACACCTGTATCACACCTGTAATCCCAACACTTTGGGAGGCCAAGGCAGGTGGATCACTTGAGGCCAGGATTCGAGACCAGCCTGGCCAACATGGTGAAACCCTGTCTCTACTAAAAATAAAAAAATTAGCTGGGCGTGGTGGCGCGTGCCTGTACTCCCAGCTACTCGAGGTTGAGGTGGGAGAATTGCTTGAACCTGGGAGGTGGAGGTTGTAGTGAGCCAAGATCGCGCCACTGCATTCCAGCCTGGGTGACAGAGTGAGACCCTGTCTCCAAAAAAAAAAAAAAAAAGACTGTATCTTCTGTCCTGCTTCAGCATATTTTATAACCCTGTCTTCCATTTCTATTCTACCCCCTTCCATGCTGCTGCATTTTTCCACAATGCATATTTTAATTTTAAATTATTCCTTTTCTCCTTTTCTTAAAGGCAGATGATTTCCTTTGGATTCTCGCTCTTTCTCTCTTTTGCATGCAGACATATGGAGAACTAAAGAAAGTATTAAGGAAAAGATTGTTTAAATTTATTTGAAATTTGCTTCTCTGTGAATTCCATCTTGAAATTTAAACTCACAGGGCAAGCCCATGTGTCTCCTAATCAACAACGAGGAAATGGTAGTTAGGTAAGACTGTATAAGACATTTAAGTAGATGATAGTGGAAAAGGGAAGAGAGGAAGTCAGAGGAATCAGGAAGGATGAGATGTCTATCTCCAGTGACTAGTGGTGTCATTAGAGAAGAGCCCATATATTAAGTAAGCCCTTATCTTGGTAAGTGCTTTACTTATCTGCTTATTCCTTACAATACTTTTTTTTTTTTTTTTTTAACAGAGTCTAGCTCTGTGGGCCAGGCTGGAGTGCAGTGGCGTGATCTCAGCTCACTGCAACCTCCGCCTCCCAGGTTCAAGCAATTCTCATGTCGCAGCCTCCAGAGTAGCTGGGATAACAGAGCTAAATGACTGCATCTGGCCTCCAACCCTTTATTAAGATAGGTATTTTGTCTGTTATGCTGATGAGGAACCTTAATGCTCAGAGATATTAAGAAGCTTGCGTAAGGCCACATACATAATTAAATACCAGAGCAGAAATTCCAGGGAATGCCTGTACTCTTTCCATTATGTATTTTTGTTCATTAACCTAGGTAGGGGGCATAGAAATTCTGAGTTTGAGAGGCATGTGGAAGGAAGTATATTTGGTTTGGTTTTGGACCTATTGAAGTTCCTGTGGGATGGGTAGGTGGAGTTTTGAAAGAGACAACAACCCAGGTATTTTCACTTGGGAGAATGTTGGGTGTAATTTATATCAAGTTTTCCTTTTTGGTTTTATTGTTATTTAATCCAAATCATTAGCAGTTTTTCTTTTTTTTTTCTTTTTGAGACAGCAGTTTTTCTTTTTCTTATTGTTATTTAATCCAAATCATTAGCAGTTTTTCTTTTTTCTTTTTCTTTCACTTTGTCACCCAGTCTGGAGTGTAGTGGTGTGATCTCGTCTCACTGTAGCTCAACCTCCTGGGCTCAAGCGATCCTGCTGCCTCAGTCCCCGAGGTAGCTGGGACTACAGGTGTACATCACCACTTCTGGCTAATTTTTGTATCTTTTATAGAGACGGGGTTTCACCATGTTGCCCAGGCTGGTCTCAAACTCCTGAGCTCAAGCTATCCGCCTGTCTTGGCCTTCCAAACTGCAAGGATTACAGGCGTGAGCCACTGTGCCAGGCGCATTAGCAATTTTTCATAGCATATCTACAAAGTTCTAATATGTATATAATGTATATTACAAGAACATAAGTGCTTTGATTTAGGTTATTCAGTTATATAATTATGTTGAGTCCCAACTGTGTGCCAGATACCGTGCTGAGTAGGTAGTAAACATTGGTAAGCAAAACAGACATAGCCCCTGCCCTTATCAGACTACCCACATAGCCCGGACACAGTGGCTCTCACCTGTAATCTCAGCACTTTGGGAGGCCAAGGCTAGAGGATCGCTTGAGGCCAGGAGTTTGGTCAGCCTGGTCAGCGAGACACTGTTTCTACCAAAACAAAAAAATTGCTGGGCATGGTGTTGTGTACCTGTAATCCCAGCTACTGGGGAGGCTGCAGTGGGAGGATTACTTGAGCCTAGAAGTTGGAGGTTGCAGTGAGATGTGTTTGTATACCTTTTGTCATTAGGTCCATATTTAGGCCCTGAAATAGGCTAATCAAAATATTTATTTATTTTTCATTTGTTTTCAGCTGGGGACGAAACACAGTAGCTTTGCAAATATAAAGTGGGAGCACAACCTAGCACTGGCGTTGGAGGTCCTCAAAACAGTCCCCAGGTTTGGTGATTCAATAGGAGGGCTCTTAGGACTTAGTATATAATCTTACTCACATCTATGATTTGTTACAGCAAAGAATCAAAGCAAAATCAGCTAAGGGGAAAGGTGCTTTGGTCTAAAGGGAACTAAGCACAAGCTTCCAAGAGTTATCTCCTAGTGGAGTCACACAGGACATGCTTAATTCCTTCAACATATATGAAAGGTTTTCTGCCAGAGAAGCTCATTTGGAGACTCAGTGCCCCAGGTACTGATTAGGCACCCACTGCCTAGCATATGACAAAATTCCTGATTCTCAGAGGGGAAGCAGGTGTTGAACATAAACCATATAGTGTTCGCAGATAGGGAATGGTGGGAACCACCCCCAAATCCATATCTTTTTTTGTTGTTAAGATGGAGTCTCTCTCTGTTGCCCAGGCTAGAGTACAGTGGCAAGATCTTGGCTCACTGCAACCTCTGCCTCCCGGGTTAAAGCAGTTCTCTTGCCTCAGCTTACTGAGTAGCTGGGATTACAGGCGTGCACCACCACGCCCAGCTAATTTTAGTATTTTTAGTAGAGATGGTGTTTTACCATGTTGGCCAGGCTGGTCTCGAACTCCTGACCTCAGGTGATACGCCTGCCTCGGCCTTTCAAAGTTCTGGGATTACACGCATGAGCTACCATGCCCAGCCATCACATCTTTTAAAATTGTTGTTTTTATACCCCTGTCTAATCTTCTACTCACTCAGTGTCTGTTAGCCAACAATTGAATCAGGATTCCATTTTGCTGCCTAGAAAATCAGTGGCTGTCTAGTTATGAAACAATTGATAACTCAGATATCAAGCCATTTTAAAACAAGTATCATGGGAATTAAAATTTAAAATTAGGCATGTGTGGTAAGAAGGGTGAGGCCACATTCATCTTTAAAATATCAGGAGGTCTTAGTCATTTCCTTTCCTCTATGGTTTTCTGAACCATGTAAACTGAAATTAGATTGTTCAATCATTTTAAATATCTAAAAGATATAGAGAGGGTTCCTTTGTTTTAACAAAAAAATACCAAAGGAGAAAATACACTCATAACGTGAATTAAAATATAGTTTTTATTTTCTTCTTTAATGTTTATTAATGTTTCCCCGTAAAGTAGAACTTTCCTTTTCTGTTCTGCTTTCTGTGTTCTCTACACGTATGTGAACCACAAGACTGAAGAAATCTAGCCTCTGAAAAACCCATAGTTGGAGTTTATTTTCTCTAAAACAATTTAGTTATTTTTGTTTGTTAGGTTCAAGGATTTAAGAGACCCTTTATATTATCTTAGTCTTAAACCAATTTGTTCCCAGTTTGCGTGTGGATGACAGCTCATCAAAACTGGTCAACTAGGACTGAGGCTAAGATTCAGGAAGGTAATTTAGACTGGAAATGGTAATTCAAGGGTTGAAGAACTCAGAGCTGGCAGAGATCACAACAGAGTCCAAGAGTTTGTAGTATTCAAAGAGAAGCCAGAAAGCCAGGACCAAAGCCAAGGACAGTAGCACTTAGCTTAAAGTCTGCAAAGCAGAGAATCATGATGGGGAGAATCATGACGTTGGGGAGATGTTAGAATAATTTACAAATATTGGCATTTACAAAGCTCTTAGTTATCTCATGATTATATCAACTCTTTAAAGTGGGTACTGTTATCTGCTTTATTCAAAGACATTAAGAGACTTGGTCCAAGCAATCACAGTAAGTAGCCGAGCTGAGACTGAAATCTTATAATTTAATTCTTCAGACTGAAAATCTCATCTTCTGAGATAGTAGTGTTTTTCAGACTGCTCTGTTGATTCTGAGGATTCTGCAAAGGTAACCAAGGTGAGGGCTTGGGGATGGGGAGCCTCATCCCTTCTAGGCCACACTCCATCCCAGCTTCATTCCATCAGAGTTGCTCAGTTTTAAATATTATTATAGGCCAGGCACCATGGCTCAACCCTGTGGCCCCACTACTCAGGAGGCTGAGGTTGGAGGATTGCTTGAGCCCAGGGGGTTGAGTTTACAGTAAGTTGTGTTTGTGCCACTGCACTTAAGCCTGGGCAACAGAGGGAGACCCTATCTCAAAAAAAGGTGGGGGTTATACACACGATTCCTTTGAATTGTTTTGTTGTGTAAAAAATCAGTTGGATTAGGAGCAGCAGAATTCTAATTTCAGTATTGTCAATTAGTGACTGTAGGCAAGCTTGGTCCTATGAAATGGGAAAGTTAGTCTTAGATAACTTTTAGATTTATTTTTGCCATAGTCCAGTCCATTTAAAAAGTTTTAAAAATTATTTTTAGAGATGAGGTCTTGCTATGTTGTCCAGGCTGGTCTCTTATCATGTGGAAATAGTTCATTTAACATTCCATGCCAGTTCAGTGAAGTCTGTGTTTATATCCTTTAGGCAGAATGAGAATGTTTTGGTGTGTGTATGTTTTATTCTAGTAGCTGAAGTTAAGGCAGGGTGAAACACAGTCATACAGCCAAACACTAGCCCAGCTTCCTACCCCTCCCAGGGCTCCCTTTCCCTTCTATCTCTGACCAAAAAATAAGCCCTCGAAAGGTTTTTAAAAAATAATCTTTTTCCTCTATATTTTAATATTTTAGGAACAAGTTCCAGTTCCAGTCTACCACCCAACACCTAGCCAGACTCGGCTAGCAACTCAGCTGACTGAAGAGGAACAAATTAGGATAGCTCAAAGAATAGGTCTTATACAACATCTGCCTAAAGGAGTTTATGACCCTGGAAGAGATGGATCAGAAAAAAAGATCCGGGAGTAAGTTTTAATTAATTTGTACATTTCAAAGTTTTATTTTCAGATTGCTTTTGAAAAATTTGCCTTTTCTCCTGCACTTTAGAAAGTCAGACATTTAATATATTGAAACACTTCGCTTAATGCAAGAGAATGTTTAATTTTTTTTCATAGCTCTATTACTGGCTACTAGCAAGAGAATGTTATGTAGTAATTAAGAATTTTCACAGGCCGAGCACAGTGGCTTATGCCTGTAATCCCAGCACTTTGGGAGGCTGAGGTCGGGGGATCACTTGAGGCCAGGAGTTCGAGACCAACCTGGCCAACATGGTGAAACCTCATCTCTACTGAAAATACGAAAATTAGCCAGGCATGGTGGCACGCGCCTGTAATCCCAACCACTTGGGAGGCTGAGGTGGGAGAATCACTTGAAACTCTGTCTCAAAAAGTAAAATAAAGTAAAATAAGAGAAAGTTAGTGTTAATGAAGAGAGCTTTAACTTACAGCAACCCAGTAAGTAGGCTGAAGTTAGTGTTTCTGTTTTTACAGTTATTAAAATGAAAATTATCTTACTCTAGGATTACTCTAAATAGCACAAGGAAACAAAGTTGCCCGAAGTTAGTGTTTCTGTTTTACAGTTACTAAAATGAAAATTGTCTTAGTCCAGGATTACACTAAATAGTGCAAGAAAACAAAGTTGATCTAACTGATGCTTTTCTACCTAAAATAATCCCATTCTCCTTCAGGTATCTGCTATAATATGTAGCTGTTTACAAGCACAGCAGTAGATTTGATGCATATGTAATCCATTTCTCTTTGCTCTGTTGATTGCTCCTAAGTCCTGCAAATTCTCAGGGGATTGAAATAAGAGACTGTGGACAGATCAACATTAGGAAAAAATTCAGTTTGCATGCTTTGGCAATAAGATGACAGGCAAAGCATTCTGATGTGTTACTCAGATTAACACTGTCTTTAATGGGATTTAAAGAGTTTTCTGAATAGGACACTTCTGAAAATGCCTTCTGATTTCTCTCCATTGCTCTCAACAGGTGTGTGATCTGTATGATGGACTTTGTTTATGGGGACCCAATTCGATTTCTGCCGTGCATGCACATCTATCACCTGGACTGTATAGATGACTGGTTGATGAGATCCTTCACGTGCCCCTCCTGCATGGAGCCAGTTGATGCAGCACTGCTTTCATCCTATGAGACTAATTGAGCCAGGGTCTCTTATCTGACTTCAAGTGAACCACCATTTTGGTGGTTTTGATCTTTTGTCACTGAGCCCAAAGAGCCAGGGATTAGGAATTAAGATCGTGCACAAAAGTTTCCTTAAAATTCCTGGATGGCTGCAGATGTTGGGGGAAAAAGTACGTGATATTTTAGAAACTTAGTGGGAAAAGTAGGATGGTATTTTTATGTAAAGCCTTGACCCAATGTTTAAAAATATAATTGTATTTAGATCTTGTTATTGCTCCAGTACATAGGAATTGTGTAAAGTGTTAACAGCAGCTGTATTTGTTTAAATTGTGTGTATTGAAGATTAGGAAAAAGATAGTAGTTATTTTTCCTAAATGAAATAACTTTCTTCTCTTCCCCTTCCCCACCCGAATTCTTTTCTGAAGTTGCTGGCATTTGGGTCAAGGTTTTATTAAAAGCTACATTTTATAACACTGGCACACACAAAAAAGTAGTTTTAAGCTTGTTTGCACAGTTCTTTTTTTCCATTGGAAATGGAATTCATTGCCTTAGGTCTTTTTAAATAGTGTATTATTATCGTTGGGGCTGGCTCTATGCTTGAAAACCAGTTTATTTATAACCTGTTATAAGTGCTATATTCTGTTTGCAGTTAGGAAATGCAGAATTCAAAGTGATCTCCTAGCTTGTAAGCAAACTGAGATGCACTATCCCTTTTCTATAAAAAATAAGTTAATGTGTCAAGAAACCAACTCTATTAAGGTGGGGTTTAATATTACCCTTTCCTATGTGTTTTATCTAATTATTTTGGTTGTTAATATGGTGATAATGGAAAGTCAAGTTAAATTTTAAATATTAAGAATTCTGATTTATTGAGATTGAATTATGCCACCACGTTTATGTAAAAATGAAGGTGGCACCGTGGTGAGACCTAATGAGAAATAGTTACTCAGTTGTAAAAATTTTGATTTATTCTCTTTCTTCTGACCTCCTTGCCTCTTGTCTTGAACCATAGCAAAAGGATACTGCATCTCTCATTACTGTAGTGCTGAGGTTATTGAAGTTATACAAAACACATCTCAGTCTCTGTTTCTTGGAAAGGTATCTATTACATCCTGCTAGCTGACTGACAAAACTAAGCAGGGAGAATAAAGATAATTGTATTTTATGTTTTGCACACAAACGCAGAATTTGTATAACCATATGACTTCATAGTTGTGATCTCAAAAAAGAAGGAATTTCTCCTTTGTTTCTTGCAGTTAATGTAAGAATACTTTAAATCTCTAAGCTTCTGAAGTGTTAGAGGTAGAGATGGTCTAGTAAAGATGTAGTAGTAATGTTTTATCCATTTAGCATGTGTTTATTTTTTCATATGTACTCAAAGGTGACTTATTGGTTCACCTCAGTGATATTACAGCTAAAAAAATCATTCATTAGCAAAAGGAAAAGTGGTCTCAACCTAACATCAGAAGTGTTTCTTATTATTATTTTATATTGAGTTGAATATTGAACTCTAACAGTTTTCTACATACAAAACACAGTGTCATGAAGGTTATTCATAATTGCATTATAGAGGAATGTAGTATGTCATAAGTACTTTGTAAAGATTTGACATTCAACTGTAGTATCCATATGTTGCTTAAATTTCCTTATGAGCCCCATGATGGAAAGACTTAAAGATGAATTTGAGAAAAATTGAAAGAAATTAGATTATCAGGTTCTGTTAAATTGTTACATGTATCTTGCTTAAATTTCTGTTTATTAATTTATATCCACCCAAGTACATAAAGCAAATTTGGAGGAAACAACTGAAGTTGTGCAATATTTTCTGATAATTGCTTTTTTTATTCTTGTGTTTTCTACTTAAACATAATGTCTGTGTCATCAAGTATTATAGTCAGACTTTTCTTTTTTTCTAGATTGTTAAAATTGGCAAATGAACTTTTTTAAAAATCATCTTCCATGTTGCAGTTAGTCTTTCTTTTCATTACAAGTCTTTCACAGAAGTTTGGTGGTAATATTGAAAGAACTAGCATTGGGCAGAATGTGTCTTTTTTAGGCACTTTATATTCTCAACATACAATGTTAAGAACCATCAATTTTGACTTTTACTAAGTTGTTAAATAAAGTTATAATACAGCTGTGAAGGGCTAAAGTTAGAGTTGATTACATAAGTAAGTATTCCCCATATAATCTTTTAAAAAGTTGTGTATGATTATTTTAAAATCTCTCTCTCTATATATACCTGTGGGAAGTATTTTTTATTGTTTGGCATTTAATATCATTTAATCATATACTTAGGCTTGATAGCACCAAAGTTTCTAAAACCAAACAATAGCTATAATCTCTTGATTTAGATATGGGCAAGATATGTCCAAGCTTGGCTGTGGGATTTGAAATTTCTAAAAAGCCTAACCAGGAAGAAACAAAAGAATCTTATCCTTTTGAGTGTAAAACCTAACAAGTTGAAATACTTTCAGATATTTGTAGTTTACCTAACACAAACTTAAAAAATTCTGTGAGTTTCTTGATAGGGAATCTCCTCAGTCGGTACTAGAAGACTCGCCCCCTGCTATTGGTGTTTATCATGTGATATAAAACAGTATGATTTCATGCAATAGTAAGCATTGAGATAACAGATCCCCTGCATACAAATCTTCATAAAGAAGCATTCATTTTTAAAAAGGAGCAACACTTAATAAAGTACAGTAATCCCCCTTATCCACGGTTTCTGCCATTTCACATACCCACACACTATGGTGCAAAAAGGTATTTTGAGAGTGAGATACCACAGTTACATAATTTTTTTTTTTTTGAGATGGAGTTTCGCTCTTGTTGCCCAGGCTGGAGTGCAATGGCGCAATCTCGGCTCACTGCAACCTCTGTCTCCTGGGTTCAAGCAATTATCCCGCCTCAGCCTCCCGAGTAGCTGGGATTACAGGCGTGTGCCACCATGCCCGGCTAATTTTGTATTTTTAGTAGAGACGGGGTTTCTCCGTGTTGGTCAGGCTGGTCTTGAACTCCTGACCTCACGTGATCCACCTGTCTCGGCCTCCCAAAGTGCTGGGATTATAGGCGTGGGCCACTGCGCCTGGCCTCACGTGACTTTTATTACAATCTATAACAACTTTTGTAAATACAGTTTTTAAAAAACACTTAATCTTGGCCGGGCCTGGTGGCTCACACCTGTAATCCCAGCACTTCGGGAGGCCAAGGCAGTTGGATCACTTGAGGTCAGGAGTTTGAGACCAGCCTGGCCAACATGGTGAACCCCGTCTCTACTAAAAATACAAAATTAGCCAGGCATGGTGGTGCACACTTGTAATCCCAACTACTTGGGAGCCTGAGGCAGGAGAGTCACTTGAACCTGCAAGGCGGAGGTTGCAGTGAGCCGAGATCGCACCACCGCACTCCAGCCTGGATAACAGAGTGAGACTCCTCTGCCTCAAAAAAAAAAAAAGAAAAAGACAAAAACTTACTGTTTTACCAGTGTTGTTCCTAATCTCTTACTGTGCCTGATTTACAAATTAAACTTTAGCATAGGTATGTATGTGTAGGTACGTATGTTGTACTATCCACAGTTTGAGATATGCAGTGGGGTTCTTGGAGAGTATACCCCATGGATAGAGTGGGTGATACTGTAGTCAAAAGGAGAACTACCTAAGGTCTTGAGACTGGAGAAGTGGTAAACGAGAGAAAGTATGTTTCTTCAGCATAAGTCACAAAAATAGTTGGTGGCTATCTGTGCTTACAAAAGCAGTGGGTAGCAGTCATGGAGTCAACTGATGAAACTTGCGTGTAAATGCATCTTAGTGTAATAACCTCACCTAATTTTTTAAGCCTTAATTTTAAAATTTGTGGACACAAGAAAAGTTGGATTTTAGGTTAATATCTCTTCAAGTAATGTTAAATTTACCTATCTGAATTTAAATAAACACTTCTATGTTTTTTAATTTTTATTATATTTCTATTTTTAAAATATTTTTTCTTTTAAATATCAACTGCTCTTTTACTGGGCGGGAAGAGATAGAAGACGATTTGACCCGTCCTTCTGTACTTTTTTTTTTGAGACGGACTTTCTCTATCTCCCAGGCTGTAGTGCAGTGGTGTGATCATGGCTCACTCGACTCACTCATTTTGTCTCTTTAAGCCACATTTTCCTCACCATGGGAGTGTTGGTAGATCAGTAGTTCTCTGAGGCCAGGACAACCAGAGCACAATTACCTAGGGCTCTGGATGTTTATTAGTAATGGAGACCCCTATCATATCAGAGTGAGAGAGGAGAAACAGAACTTTTTGAGACAGAGTCTCACTCTATCTCCCAGGCTGGAGGGCAGTGGCACAACTGCTTCCACCTCCCAGGCTCAAGCGACCTTCCCAAGGAGCTGAGACTACAGGTACATGCTACCACACCTGGCTAATTTTTGTATTTTTTTGTAGAGATGAGTTTTTGGCATGTTGCCCAGGCTGGTCTCGAACTCCTGGGCTCCAATGATCCTCCCACCTCAGCCTCCCAAAGTACTGGGGTTACAGGTATGGGTCACTATACCTGGCCATCTATCATTTGTAACAGGTTCTCCAAGTGATTCTGATGCACTAGTAGGTTTTGGAACCATTGGTAGATGATCCCTTCCCAAACTTGTGAAGTACAGGTTTGGTTCTTTTTTTGTTTCCTGAGAAATTAGAAGCAGTATTGGGCACTTGTTGGTTATTCAGAGATTGATTGTCCAGGCACAATTATCTAGACTTTCTGCTCTTCATTTGTCCTTTTGCTATTTCCTTGCTCTTTAGCATAGATA
Source organism: Homo sapiens (assembly GCF_000001405.40). Classification (NCBI taxonomy): domain Eukaryota; kingdom Metazoa; phylum Chordata; class Mammalia; order Primates; family Hominidae; genus Homo; species Homo sapiens. The sequence continues at coordinate 51,276,100 of NC_000001.11, forward strand.
CAGAGCATCCAGATAAGTAAGTCCCTTTACAACCTATTTCCTGATTTTACAAGCTTCTTCCATCAGAGGCACCAGTGAATTATAAAAAGGGTTTGAGATTTATTTGCACATTTTAATTGTCCACATTGTTTGCTTTATCACACTGAGCACTTAGGCACAAGCTTTTGTTTTGGAGACAGGGTCTCACTGTGTCCCCCAAGCTGTAGTGCAGTGGTTTGATCATGGCTCACCGTAAGTTCAGACTCCTGCGCTCAAGTGATTTTTCCCACATCAGCCTCTCGAGTAGCTGGGATTGACTGCAGGTGCGCTCAACCACGTCCAGCTAATGTTTTGTTTTTTTGTAGAGACTGAGTCTCACTATGTTGCCCAGGCTGGCCTGAAACTCCTGGCCTCAAGAGCTTCTCCTGCCTCAGCCTCCCAACGTGCTGGGATTATAGGCCTGAGTCACTGCTCCCAGCCTGGCACTGCCTTAGGACAGTAGCTGGATGCATCTGATTAATGTTATTAACTGACTAAAGCCATTTATTGTTTCTTCACATACAGTTTTTTAATAAAAGTATGGTCGAGATTACCTTTTCATTACATTTCTGTTTCTTGAGAAAAATTACTGTTCACTGGCACATTTAGTCATCTTCAGGTGCTTCCCATAGAAAGTTTGTTTTTCTCTTTGAATGAAGGAGTGTTAGCAATAGGCACATGTTTTAGGCATCTAAAACTGATGGTGATGAAAGGAGCAGCGCCTATTTGCTTTGAACCCTTCCTCTAATATTTGTGCTTGTGGGCTCCACATCTCTTAGCACTGAGAAAAAGAAGTTGTTGAGGAAGATACTAAGGGGTCTCCCTAAGTGTCTTGTCATGGCAGTGTGTACTCTGAATGCCTGTGAGAAGATTTGGTTGGCTATGCAAAAAAAGTTCAACTTCTCACTGGAGGCCACCACAGTAGCTAATCTGGTCAGTTAGTACCCAAAAGCAAGTTTTAAGCATTGTGTGTGAATTGAGAAGCCTGGACTACTATACTATCAGAAAGACACTGAGATTGGCTTCCAGCATTATCCAAATGAGGTGCAGGAATAGGCTACATTCTGCCAACCCCAGAATTAGAGCCAGGCCTTCAGCTTTGAAACAATGCAGAATGATGATCCTCTATGCAAAAGCTTAGCTGAACTGGGTAAACACATTATAAAAGTTAACAGCTACAACTTCACAGTGTGCAAAGTGTGGGAAGAGAAGAGGTTTGGTCTTCGTGCTGCTTGCTTACACTCATCACTATCTGTAGTGTTACCCTGACACGAGGAAGAATAATTCATAGGCATTCTTTTTTTTTTTTTTTTTTTTTGAGACAGAGTTTAGCTCTTGTTGCCCAGGCTGGAGTGCAATGGCATGATCTCGACTCACCGCAACCTCCGCCTCCCAGGTTCAAGCAATTCTCCTGCCTCAGCCTCCCGAGTAGCTGGGATTACAGGCATGCACCACCATGCCTGGCTAATTTTCTATTTTAGTAGAGACGGGGTTTCTCCATGTTGAGGCTGGTCTCGAACTCCTGACCTCCAGGTGATCCGCCTGCCTCGGCCTCCCAAAGTGCTGGGATTACAGGCGTGAGCAACCGCGCCCGGCCGGCATTCTTATTTCTGGTTGTGAGACAGGTGCTGTTCTAGTAAGGCATTTTCAGATGATGGGCTGTTTTTGCAAGTCCTGCTCTCAGGGCTCTTCCTTAAACTTTGAGTTAATGGCTTTGAAGATATACTTGAAGTAAGAAATCCTGGTCCTGGGCATGGATTTTAATAAACTGGATTTCTGATTTTTTCTGAAGAGCAAAGAACATGAAATACCTACTCATATTGAGTCTTAGCACCTAATTATAACTTAGCATATTGACAGCTTTTTTTTTTTGGACATAGCCTTGCTCTGTTGCCCAGGCTGGAGTGCAGCGGTGCAATCTTGGCTCACTGTAACCTCTGCCTCCTGGGTTCAAGTGATTCTCATGCCTCAGCCTCCTGAGTAGCTGGGACTACAGGGGCACATCACCATGCTCAGTTAAATTTTGTATTTTTAGTAGAGATGGAGTTTCACCGTGCTGCCCAGGGTGATTTCGAACTCCTGAGCTGAGGCAATCTGCCCGCCTCAGCCTCCCAAAGTGCTAGGATTACAGGTGTGAGCCACTGCGCCTGGCCAAGATGCAGCATTTTTATGGTTTAGACAAACCAGAAGCAATTGGTGCTGGAGACTAACTTCCATGTTTAACCCTATATAATCCATTCTTCACACAGCAGTTAAATTAAGGTGAATAAATAAATTGATGTCATTTCCCTACTTAAAACTTTAATAGGCCGGGCGTGGTGGCTCACGCCTGTAATCCCAGCACTTTGGGAGGCCGAGGCGGGCGGATCACAAGGTCAGGAGATCAAGACCATCCTGGCCAACATGATGAAACCCCGTCTCTATTGAAAGTACAAAAATTAGCTGGGCGTAGTGGCGCACACCTGTAATCCCAGCTACTTGGGAGGCTGAGGCAGGAGAATCGCTTGAACCCGGGAGGCAGAGGTTGCAGTGAGCCGGGATTGTGCCACTACACTCCAGCCTGGTGACAGAGTGGGACTCCATCTCAAAAAAAACTTTAATAGCTTCCTGTAATGCGGAGCATAAAACTCAAACTCCTTAACAGGGATGAGTTGGTTTTCTGCCTTTTCATTTGAATCAACCATTTAGCCCCATGGGCCGTCTGTGTGCCTTCTAAAATGGCAAGTTCTTTCCTGTCTCAAGTCTTTTTGTGCTATTCTGCCCTGCAGCTCTCTTCTCCACATTGTTCAGATAGCTGACTTCTTATCCTCTAGACCAGATACATCCCACTTACAAGCATGAATTAGGAATTTTGTCCTCATGGAACATCATAGAATGTACTTGCACAAACCTAGATGGTATTGTTGCTCCTAGGCTACAGACCTGGCCAGCGTGTTACTGTGCTGAATATCCTGGGCAATTGTAACACAGTGCTTGTATCTGTGCATCTAAACATAGAAAACTGTAAAAGATAAAACAGTATACCTGTAGTTACCATGAAGGGAGCTTGCAGGGCTGGAGGTTGCTCTGGGTGAATCAGTGAGTGAGTGGTGCACGAATGTGAAGCCCTTAAGACATTACTGTACACTACTGTAGACTTTATAAACGCCACACCTGGGCCACATTGTTTATGATTTAAAATATTCTTTTTTCAATAATTAACAGCTTACTGTACTTTTATAAACTTTCTAAATTTTTTAACTTTTAAACTTTTGTAATATGTACCATATATAATTGTATGTGCTATAATTGTATACAACTGGGCCGGGCGTGGTGGCTCACGCCTGTAATCCCAGCACTTTGGGTGGCCAAGGCAGGCAGATCACCTGAGGTTGGGAGTTCAAGACCAGCATAGCCAACATGGTGAAACCCTGTCTCTACTAAAAATGCAAAAATTAGCTGGGCATGGTGGCTCATGCCTGTAATAGCTACTCGGGAAGCAGAGGCGGGAGATCGCTTGAACTCAGGAGGTGAAGGTTGCAATGATCTGGAGTGCCGAGATCATGCCACTGCACTCCAGCCTGGACGACAAGAGCGGAAGTCCGTCTCAAAAATTTTTTTTTGATGATTGGCAGTGCAGTAGGTGTGTTTACACCAACATCACCACAAACGTGAGTAATGTGTTGCCCTACAAACTTACCATGGCTATATCACTAGGGCATAGGAATTTTTCTTTTCTTTTTTTTTTGAGACAGACTTTCGCTCTTGTCCAGGCTGGAGTGCAATGGTGCAATCTCGGCTCACCGCAACCTCTGCCTCTGGGTTCAAGGGATTCTCCTGCCTCAGCCTCCCAAGTAGCTGGGATTACAGGCATGTGCCACCACATCCGGCTAATATTGTATTTTTAGTAGAGACAGGGTTTCTCCATGTTGGTCAGGCTGGTCTCGAACTCCCGACCTCAGGTGATCCGCCCACCTTGGCCTCCCAAAGTGCTGGGTTTACAGGCGTGAGCCACTGCACCTGGCAGGAATTTTTCAACTCCATCATAATCTTATGAACCCACCGTCATATATATGGTCTGTGATTGACTGAAATATCGTTATGTGGCAGATGAGTGTATTTACTCCATGGCTCTAATTCTTTGTTAACTCCTATGACTTCACTTTCAGAACAAGCTCCGTGAGAGCAGGACAGTAGGTGTTCAACAGATATGTATTAAATGAAGGGAAGGAGAAAATGGGGAAAAAGAGGTCCTTAGAAATCCAAGCTAGCTAACATCTCAAGGAGTTTCCCGTTGCAAAATAGGGATCTTATAAAGAAGAGTTTGGAGGGTGGCCAGGAGAAGGGCAACAAAGGGAAAGCTCTCCTTGAAGGTGCAGCTTGCTTCTTTCTTCCTTTCTTTCTCTTTCTCTTCTTTCTTTTTCTTTCTTTCTTTCTTTCTTCTCTGTTTCTTTCTTTTCTTTTTCTTTCTCTTCTTTATTTTCTTCTTTCTCTTTAATTCTCTCTCTCTCTCTCTCTCATATTTGAGACAGAGACTCACTGTGTCATCCAGGTTGGAGTGCAGTGGTGCAATCTTGGCTCACTGCAACCTCTACCTCCCAGGCTCATGCAATCCTACCTCAGCCTGCCAAGTAGCTGGGACCACAGGCGCATGCTACCACGCCTGGCTGATTTTGTATGTGTGTGTGTTTTTTGGTAGAGATGGAGTTTTGCCGTGTTGCCCAGGCTGGTCTCAAACTGGGCTCAAGCTATCCACCAGTTTCAGCTTCCCAAAATGCTGGCCTGAACATGCAGCTTTCTGATAAGCCTTGTCTCTAACCAGTACACCCACTGTTCTCATCCTCCCCTGTTCTTGGGAATGGGGTAAGTCATTCTTCCTGTATATCAACTTTTGAAAGAAAGGACATAATAGTGGATTTATGGTGTTTTTGTTTGTCAAATACACCGCCTTCCCTTTTAGTAATACCCCCACTGAGCATATGTCTGAAGGTAGGCCAATTGTGGTACCTCACTGCCATTTTAGGGCAGTGGGTCTCGAACTTCAGTGTGCATCAGATTCATCGGCAGTTCTTTTTTTTTTTGAGACACAGTCTCCCTCTGTTGTCCAGGCTGGAGTGCAGTGGCGCAATCTCGGTTCACTGCAACCTCCACCCTCTCAGGCTCAAGCAATTCTCATGCCTCAGCCTCCCAAGTAGCTGGGATTACAGGGATGCACCACCACATTCGGCTAATTTTTGTATTTTTAGTAGAAACGGGTTTCACCATGTTGGCTAGGCTAGTATCGAACTCCTGACCTCAAGTGATCCAGCCGCCTCGGCCTCCCAAAGTGCTGGGATTACAGGCATGAGCCACTGCACCCGGCCATCTACAGGTCTTTTAAAACTCAGACTGTGGCAGGGCATGGTGGCTCATGTCACCTCAGGATCACCTGAGGTCAGGAGATCAAGACCAGCCTGACCAACATGGTGAAACCACATCTCTACTAAATTAGCCAGGCGTGGTGGCACGTGCCTGTAATCTCAGATACTTGGGAAGCTGAGACAGGAGAATTGCTTGAAGCCGGGAGGCAGAGGTTGCAGTGAGCCAAGATAACACCACTGCACTCCAGCCTGGATGAGAGAGGGAGACTGTGTCTCAAAAAAACAAAAACAAAAACAAAACAAAAAAAAAACCTCAGATTTCAGGGCCTCAAGCCTACAGTTTTTAGGTCAAGGTGGGATAGAATTTGTATGTCTAACAAGTTCCCAGGGGATGCTAATGCTGATCAGGGACCACACTTTGAGGAGCACTTGCCTAAGGGATGGACATTTGAGCCAAGCCAGACTAATTGTCCTTATCTGGTATTGTTCATACTGGAATTAGGAAAAGCAGCCCTTGGCTTCACTGGCCATATGCCATAAGGACATGAGACCTAAAGTGCCATGTACTCCTGCCATGCAGAGAAGCCAGATCAAAAGAATCTAACACAGGGGCAAAAGCCAAGAGATAAAGAAAGCTTAATTGTGGCACTAGCGCCCCCGATTCAGTCATCCGTCAGGCCAAATCCACCACTGCCTTCGCACAGTAGAAGTAAGCCAATAAATTTACCTGAATATGGTATACTCGGGGCCATACTAGGCTATTTATTTACATGCTTGCTCTTTATCCTCAACAACCCTTGTAAAGCAGTTGGCATTAAACCCCATTTTGCCTAAGAGTAAACTGATTCTCTAAATAGGGTGAAGTAGTTTGATTAAGTTGAATATACTGTGCTTTTATCCACTACCCCATGTAATTAATCGAACTTAAAAGTTGAGTAGGCCGGGCGTGGTGGCTCAGGCCTGTAATCCCAGCACTCTGAGAGGCTGAGGTGGGAAGATCACCTGAGGTTGGGAGTTTGAGATCAGCCTGACCGACATGGAGAAACCCCGTCTCTGCTAAAAATACAAAAGTAGCCGGGGGTGGTGGCACATGCCTATAATCCCAGCTACTCGGGAGGCTGAGGCAGGAAAATCACCTGAACCCTGGAGGCAGAGAGGTTGCGGTGAGCCGAGATCACGGCATTGCACTCCAGCCTGGGCAACAAGAGCGAAACTCAGTCTCAAAAAAAAAAAAAAAAAAAAAAACAAAGGCTGGATATTTTTAGTAAACCAGGCTTTCTCATACTGTGAATTTGCTCACAACCTCTTTTCCAGAGAACTGTAGGAAGTCATCTCAGTACCAGGAGGACAAAGCTGTGGCCCGTGGGCCACTTTGACCCACAAATGTGATGTGCTTAGCCAAGCACTCATAAGTGCTTAAACTATAAAACAGTTTTTAGTGCCTTTGGCATCATATGCTTCCCAGTTTGCCAGTGATCCTCTTTCTTATTGTCTTATACCAAGCCCCTTCTAGCACATGACTTGCTATGCATCAAGCCTCAGTGCAGGCTTCACTTCCCATCTCTGGAGTAGTTGACTGGAACTCTACCTGAGTGGGGATTGGATCATGCCTTTTCCTCCATCATCCCTCGATGATTTTCTGAGCAAATACTGTTGTTTAAGGATTGCTTTTCTTTTGGCTTTTTGCAAGTTAGGCCCTCTCCCTACTTCATGATGCCAAGTGCCAAAGGGAGCCATGCCACAAAGACATGCTCCATGTGTTTGCAGCCAAGCATCTCCAGCGGTTGAGCTATTAGTCAGTACTTCTTCCATTTTCACAGTGGCCCAAGAGTCAGTATAAGCTGGGTCTAACTTTACACAGGATTTTACAGCTTGACCAACAGTGTAGCAAAGTACAGGCTTTAGAGTTCAGCAGCCTGTCTTCAAATCTTACTGCTGCATAATCGTTGTGTGATCTTAGGCAACTTATTTACCTGTGCCTCAGTTTTGCCATCTGCAAAATGACAATGGCCCCACTTCATAGGATTATGTAAATATTATGAGGATTAAATAAATGTAAAGTACTTAGAATAGCAACTGGCACATAATGAGTATTTAATAAATACTAGCTTTTATTCTTTTCCCCAGAGCATATTGGTGTCTGATGTTCTGGAGTGTTTAATGTGGAGGAAGAAAAACAAACCTGATCTAGTCATTTGTGAGACATTAGCTGTGATGTCTCTGATTAAACATCCACTTTTTTTTCTTTTTTAGACAGAGTCTCGCTCTGTCACCCAGGCTGGAGTGCAGAGGCGCGATCTCGGCTCACTGCAAGCTCCACCAACCGGGTTCAAGCAATTCTGCCTCAGCCTCCTGAGTAGCAGGGACTACAGGTGCCTGCCACCACGCCCACTTAATTTTTGTATTTGTAGTAGAGACCGAGTTTCACCATGTTGGCCAGGATGGTCTCAATCTCCTGACCTTGTGATCCACCTGCCTCGGCGTCCCAAAGTGCTGGGATTACAGGCGTGAACCACCACGCCCAGCCAAACATGAACTTTTAACAGTCCATAGAGACCTTCAATAGTTCATTCTATGTCTTCCCAAAGGGCTCTATTCTTATTTTGTCACTTAACAGTTGACTTTATACAGTGGAAGCAGTCATAGATTACTCATTTAGAGATGGAGTTTTCGAGTCCCCAAATGAGGTTTCTTGTTTGTGGACCTAGCCTATTAATCAGTAATGAACTTTGCACTGGAATTCAAAGGAGCCGTGCTAACCCGAGCAGAAGGCACTTTCCGACCTTGGAAGGCTGCATCTGAGGGTGGGCGTGAGAAGTTCCCATTTGCTGCTTGGATTGCAGAATCCAGACACCTCTCATTTATTACTGAATTAGTGTGATGATGCTGAGGATGTTGAGAAGGCACTGTTAGGCTTTAAATTTGAAGTAAACAAGGAAAAGACTGTTGACTCCCATCATCTTAGAAGAAATGATCTTGGGAGTAACTCCAGAGGAAAGGGTCTGGATTTGATTCCTTGAATGGTTCTAGTACTCAGCACACTGGGGCTTTCTTAAAACCTCTTGGTGCCATTCTTCACTTGGGAATCTCCCACCTGGACCTCAGCCAAATCTTGAGTTGGTGTTGGCCTTTTAGGATCCTGGCTTTGATGTCAGGTTGTGGCTTTCTGCTGTGAATGATAACTGTCTTGGAAACACTCCCATTCTGGCTCAAGAGATAAGGAATAGGGCAACCTGCCAACCCATGGGAGAGCTGAGGGCCCAGCACACTGCTAGAAGCCACTCTGCCATTCTGAGGGCCTGTGATCAGTGAGAGGCTGAGGTAGACTTTCTGTTGCCAAGGACCTGTTCAGATCATGTTACATCATTGCTACTTCCCTAACAACTGAATTCATCTTGGGGCACAGGATTTAGACTTTCTCTAAATGAGGATTACTTGCTCTCTGGGTGTTCTGGCTACTGTAGAGCCCCTAAGAAGTCTATTATTTCTGGTTGAATTGCTTAGGGACACAAGGCTTTGGCAGAAAGGTAGGGAAGTGTATCTGTTGCCTCATTTTGCAGATGAAAACCCATAAAGAAACTGTAGAAGGCAGGAAAGAGCCTTAATCTTGTCCAAATTGCTCATTTTTAGAGGATCTGTGACTTTCCCAAGGTTACTTTGAAAATCAGTAGCAAAGTCAGGACTGGAATTCAGGTCTCCTTATTTCCAGGCTCAAACCTTCCACCTGATCTGTGGCCTCTCCATGGCAGATGTGCTGGGAAGGTCTGCACTATTAGAGAAGCAGTGACCACAGATGACTCAAATAAGACATTGAGAGCCTATGACAGAATTTTCACTTTCTTGAAAACGCCCTTGCATAAGGATGTGGTGATGTTAGAAACCCAGTGTTTTCATTGTCCTTCACATATGTATGTATATGTATATATTTGATAGATTATCTCAGAATTTGCAGGTGGGGTACAGGAGGCAAAACCCACTGATTTATCTTATCAGGGCAGCAGAGGTAAAAGTGACATAGGATTAATTAACAAAGCCCAGGAGGAAATAAACAGCAAATGTTGACGAGGAAATCATCTTGACCAAATTTTAAAATGAAAGCACCCGTGGCCGGGCGTGGTGGCTCATGCCTGTAATCCCAGCACTTTGGAAGGCCAAGGCAGGTGGATCACGAGGTCAGGAGATCGAGACCATCCTGGCCAACATGGTGAAACCCCATCTCTACTAAAAATACAAAAATTAGCTGGGCATGGTGGCGCATGCCTGTAATCCCAGCTACTCAGGAGGCTGAGGCAGGAGAATTGCTTGAACCCGGGAGGCAGAGGTTGCAGTGAGCTGAGATCGCGCCACTGCACTCCAGCCTGGTGACATAGCGAGACTGTCTCAAAAAAAAAAAAAAAAAAAAAAGCACCCGAAATGAGTTTTTTTGTAAACTGCAATTTTCCAAAGTATGTGTTTGGTGTCCTGTGAGTAGTGCTGCTTTGATACAGCAGCAGGCAACATTCCAACATGTGGGGAAGCCATGGAGGCCTGTCCTCCTGCAGCCTGTCTCTACCCGCTCACCCTGTCCTGTCCAGGAGCCTAGAAACAGGTTGGTCTCCCAGCATCCAGGCTTTGGAGAAGAGATAGCTTGCAAAGGGATTACTCTCTATGGAGGACATTCTTTTGTTTCATTCTAATAATATGAGAGATTTTTTTTTCATAGCATTTCTACTCTGACAATACTCATTGGAAAAGATAATCTTGGGTGAGGGTTTTTTTGCTTTTTTTCCTAATAATATATTTTGCCTAAAACCCATTACTTCATTCGATGTCACCCATAGGAGGCTGGTCAACTGGATCTTTTTTTTTTTTTTTTGAGATGGAGTCTCCCTCTGTCGCCAGGCTGGAGTACAATGACACGATCTCAGCTCACTGCAACCTCTGCCTACTGGGTTCAAGCGATTCTCCTGCCCAAGTAGCTGGGACTACAGGCATGCGCCACCACGCCCAGCTAATTTTTTAATTTTTAGTAGAGACGAGGTTTCACCATATTGGTCAGGATGGTCTCGATCTCCTGACCTCATGATCCACCCACCTCAACCTCCCAAAGTGCTGGGATTACAGGCGTGAGCCATCGTGCCCGACCGACTGGATCTTTATATATTAACCCAGACCCTTGGCAGATACTCGTGTTTGTTAAATACAGCAATCCTAGAAGATTGGAAAGTTTAACTGGTTCTTCTCTCGTAGAAACTGCATTCATGCATTTGGGGAGTAACGTTTTCACAGATGAATATTTTTACTGTGTGCATGATTTTCCCTACGGGGAAATGGTTAGGTTGAAGTGTGCTGACATCAGAAAGTGAAGAGTAAAACCTGGTGTTGGTCATTGAACCTGAGTTCTCACTTTAACAATCCTAGAGGTTGCAAATTCAGATGCTTTTAGGGGCCAGAAAGGTAACAGAAGTGTTTAAAGTAGCCTGGACTTAGCTCTAGCTGATTGTTGCCTCATGGGAATGAGGCTCAATGTTGCCATTTTTGTTTGTTTGTTTTTAAATTACAGGCCAGGAACCAGATTCATCTGTAAAATCTCCCCATTTGTGAATGCTGGTAACTTATTCAAAAAGTTTAAAACATTGTGTGGTCTAAATAAAACATACATAGGCCGTGTGGCTTCTGATCAAGACTTTCTGCCTGGCCTAAGGATTCATGCAACACATATTTTATTGAAATACATGATGCACGATCCCTTAAGGGCATAAATTTTATCACTTAAATATCTCTTTTCTCTTAACTGAAGAATCTAACGCATACACAACAGGTCAAGAATAACAGTTTTAACAAAAATGCTGTCAGTAAGCAAATGTACCTTGGAGTGAAGTACAGAAGATTTTTATGTTTCATAAATTATTCCCAGTGGTTTCAGTTTGGCATACAGCAAAGATACAGACTGGATTCTGAGAACCTCCTCCTGCCCCCCAAATTTCCTGGCTTTGGCATAGAAAGGGCTACACAGCTCTTCCATCAAGCCCTGGCATTTTCTACTGGTAGAGATTGATTTTTCTACAGAAGAGCTCAGATTTTATCTCACTAAAAAGACGTGCTTGATTTTTAAATTGGAAATTTACAAAAGGAGTGAAATGAAGTGTGAGTAGTAAGGTAGTGGGTGTCTGTGTACATCCTCATGCCCAACCCCAGAAGCATTGAAGCCTGAGGCTTAGCCTCTCCCAGGCATTCCTCAGGTCCTCTGAAGGACCTTCCGTCACACAAGCTGAGAACTTGCTGAATTTGAAAAGCAATTTGCCCTTTGGCATCATCATATAAAGAGATTTACCTCCAGATGATAATAGGTGAAGACAAAGACTTACAGGTGGTTGATTGTTGTTGGTTTTTAAAGCCAACTGTGATCCCATCAATGTATTTCTAAGGAAAATGTAAACTGTTCATACATTCTCTTAAACATCACAGTGAAAAGCAAGTACCCGTATGTGTGATAGGGCAGGCAGAGGGCTCCACCTGCTCTGCCCTTGGCAAAGGCCCTTGGCTACACTGGTGAAAATGCCAGCTCGGCTTCTGCACGGATACACTATGTTGTGCCATCCAACTGGAGTGCCGGTGGACCCCAAAGGCAGGGCAGGGCAGGGGGAGGGGGTATTTTGAAATGTTTTCAGGAGCTCTGTCCAGCTGTCTCTGTCTTCCAGCCCGGAACTGCTGCACAAAGCTACAAGGACACTGATGAGACCATGGATCTGCTGCTGTTCTCTAGGGAAGACTTGGCTTGGAGTGTGGCTGCCTGGATTCGAAAGTGTGTCCTTGACTCCATGGAGTAATTCTTGTAGTTTTGCCTGGAATTGAGCAGCGAATCAGACACATGAGGCTGCCTGCTCCCAGAGATGCTTTTCCTCCTGTTTGAGCTGTATGAGCCCCGCGAGCCAAGGAAGGATTGTAGAGAAATTAATGTGTCCAGAGAGAGTTGAGCCCTACCCAATGGGAGAGTTAACCAGAAGGGTTTGTGGCCCCTCATCCCTGGTATCATGGCCACTGGAACCACTCCTGGTCCTCCTGGGTTCCTAAGCTTGAAGGGGTGGTTTTAGGGAATAGACCCCTACCCTGGAAGGCAGGAGGCATGGGTCCTCACACAGCCATGCAGTTGGCTTCTGATGTGACCTTGGGAACTTACTTCCTGCCTCTGGGAGTCTAACTGCGCATTTATACATTAAGAAAGAAGTCTTCCTATGACAGGCGAGAGCTGGATTCCGAGGGACACAGGTCCACCCTCTAGACTGCCAGACTGGCCTTGCTAGCAACTCCACTCACTGCTCTCTGGGCAACTCTGTCCCCAGCCAGCTCCTGAGCTGAGTTCAGAGGGAGCAAAGGACAGACTGAGGTTACCCAAGCCTTACTTGGCAGATTCCAAAAGTTTGATGGCCTCTTCGTTTCTGTCTTGCTCCATAAGCAGCAGGGCCAGCTCCAGCAGGGCGTTTGGGATCAAGTAGTGGTCATATTTAATCTTCTTTTCACTGCAGAACAGAGGACATGGCTCAGGTTCCTCCTCCTGAGCCTCTCCCAAACTGCATGTGAGGATTTCCTAACCCGAACTCCAATTTTGGGAGGTTCCCACTACCCAGCCCTAGAAAGGCTGGGATCCATAGCAAAGCCTTCCCATCCTGTACCTTGGGCTCCAGCTCCCTGACAACCTATGGCTCCTGTCATGTCCTTAGTCCACCGCCACCTAAGTCCCGACCTCCCTTTCTCCAGGTTGAATGGTTTATTAAACTGTAAAGTCTCCTGTCTCTGATCTACCCTCTCTGACCCGACCTCCATGCTGTCCTGGAGATATCCTTTTAAACCCCAAGTCCTCCTTGCCCGGTACCCTTTCTGGCTGTCTTCTTTGGGATACAATTTAGCCTTGTGAACAAAACATCCAGGCCCTTCTCATTCTATCCCTCCTTTTTCATCTTCAATCTTTTCTCTCTATGACTTCACCCAGGCAGGTAAAGACCCCATCACCGTCACCCCAGCCTCAGATGTCTTTCCTGTGTCCATGCACTGGTGCATGCTGTACTTACTCCACTTCAAACCTGTCCTCCCTTGCTTTCTCTGCCTGATGAACTTCCCACTTTCAACATCAGCCTTGGAAAGCCTTTCCTGGTATCTCCCATTAAGTTTAGGTCCCTTCTTGGGGCACCTGCTGTCCTCTCCGCTTTCCTTTAGCATGGCCCTGACGAGCCTTGGTTGGGTTGCCTACAGCTTGCCATCTGTCACATTGCCCTCCCTGAGGGCAAGGATAGAGTCACCGAATTACAAACTCCAGGGGACACTGTTCACTCAAAACAACGTGGATGGACTCCTGTAGTCAGGCAATTTGGTGGCACTGGGAGGCTAGGTCTGAATTATCTGTACAGCTCCCGGCACAAGTCCTGGCACAGAGTGGACACTGGTTTAGTACCTGTGTGGTGAGTGGGGGTTGGCTAGGGTCAGCCACTGCAGTGGGCATGAGGATGGAGAAGCCCTGAATATTCTACCCAGGAGACTCAGACCCAGAAGGAGCAGCTGCAGAGGCACTTACTTGGCAGAGATGCTCCTAAAATTCTCCTCGGCCTCCTGGACACGGCCCAGGTATTTCAGACACAGGCCTTTCAACAATTTCACCAAGCACTCGTCATCCACTGAGTACTCGTTCTCTGAAAATAGGGATGTGAGGGAAAAAGACAGACTTGTTCATTTCTGCAGCAGTTACTTATGGAGCCCCCTACTTTGTGCTAGGTCAAAGGGACACAGGTAAATCAGACACAGTCCCTGTCCTCAGCAGGGGTCACATCTAAGAAGGAAAGGCAAATACTGAGACAATGACAATACAGTGAGGTCAGCACTGAAGGAAGCCCCAAGGCTGCGGGAGCCCAGAGGCTTTGACCCTACCAGGTGGACAAGGAACAGCTGCTTGGAGGAGCTCAGTCTAGAGAGATAAAGGAGAGTTGCCAGGGTAGGGAAAGGAGGAAGGACATTTTTGGCAGAGGGAAGCTTCAGCTGTAAAGACCTGACCTAGCATGGCAGGCCCAAGGGCCTGAGGGAAGTCACCTGGGCCTTTCTCCAGCATCTCTTCAGCCTTAGTGATAATCTCAAGTATCCCATCCGTGAGTTTCGGCTGCTTCCCAATCACGGCGTAGCCGTTCCAGATGTACATCATTTCCTGAAGGCAGGGGGGCAAGTCAGTCCTAGGTTTCTTCCCTAATGGGGCCTCAGTTTTCCCATCTACAAAATGGGCAGTTCAGATCAGAGGTTCACTAAAGGACCTTCTAGCTCTAATCATCCATGACAGGTCTCAGTCAGCCTGTGAAGCTGTGGGTCTGAGGGGGTTATGGGAGCCTTATCATTGATTTCCTCCTGAGATCTCACCTTACCCCAGTGAAGATGTAAGATGGACCAATGTCCGTAATGTGCTGCTCATAGCTGCCCAAGTTTTCCAGCTATTTTCCTGCTCATGCCCTCCCTGAGTGCTATTATGTCCTTTCTCCCAACCTCTCTGGGGCCAAACACTTTCTGTCCTTTGAGGACCAGGCCATGCTCCATACACACATTTCAGGACAACAGAATTTAAGGCTATGTCACCTTCTCTTCTACTCCTAGTCTCCCAAAGCAATGGGCTAAATAATGACATTCATATTCCATTTCCTTTAGAATGAAGTTACCATCATTGAGACTCTTAAAACACATCTGATTCCTTTTATTCTTTTTCTTAGATTCTTTTTTTTTAGTTAAAAAAATTTGGGGGGGGCCAGGCACAGCGGCTCACGCCTGTAATCCCAGCACTTTGGGAGGCCGAGATGAGTGGATCACCTGAGGTCAGGAGTTCGAGACTAGCCTGGCCAACATGGTGAAACCCCATCTCTACTAAAAATACAAAAATTAGCCGGGTGTGGTGGCACACACCTATAATTCCAGCTACTCGGGAGGCTGAGACAGGAGAATCACTTGAATCCAGGAAGCGGAAGTTGCAGTGAGCCGAGATGGCACCACTGCACTCCAGCCTGGGTGACAGAGACTCCGTCTCAAAAAAAAAGTCTTGGGGCCAGGTATGGTGGCTCACACCTGTAATCCCAGCACTTTGGAAGGCTTAGGCAGGTGGATCATAATCACTTGAGCTCAGGAGTTCAAGACCAGCCTGGGCAACATGGCGAAACCCCATCTCCACCAAAAAAAAAAAAAAAAAAAAAAAAAAAATTAGCCAGGCATGGTGGTGCAAGCCTGGGGTCCCAGCTACTTGGGAGGCTTAGGTGGGAGGATCGCTGGAGCCCAAGAAATCTAGGCTGCAGTGAGCTATGATCACCCCACTGCATTCCAGCCTGGGTGACAGAGTGAGATTCTATCTCAAAAAAAAAAAAAAAATTCTTTTCACCATGTCTTTGTCAGGCTATTGGTTCCTTTTGTTTGTTTGTTTTTGCCTCGACTGCCAGGAAGCTCAGAATACTAAATTAGGCTGAATGCAGTGGCTTACGCCTGTAATTCCAGCACTTTGGGAGGCTGAGGTTAGAGGATCTCTTGAGCCCTGGAGTTCAACACCAGCTTGGGCAACACAGTGAGATATCATCTCTACAAAAAAATAAAAATAGTAGCTGAGCATGGCGGTGCACACCTGTAGTCAGGAGGCTGAAGTGAGAGGATCCTTTGAGCCCAGGAGTTTGAGGCTGTGGTGAGCTGATATCACCACTACACTCCAGCCTGCATGACAGAGTGAGACCCCACCTCTAAAATAAATATTTAAAAATAAATAAAATAAAATAATAGTACTAAACTTTCATTCATAGTAACTGTGTTTGCTTAAATGAGCATTTCCTAAACTATCAAAGAAGATAATGGATGTGAAAACACTTTGTAGCCATAAAGTTCTAGAAAGACATTATTGTTGTGGTTCTTGTTATGTTCTAGGAAGGGAATTTCAGTTTAGACCAGTATTTCTCAACTGTTCTGTGGTCCCAAGTTAGCAAATGTTTCATTCTATTTTATTTTATTTTAGAGACAGGGTCTCACTCTGTCACCCAGGCTGGAGTGCAGTGGCACTATCACAGCTCACTGTAGCCTTGACCTCCTGGGCTCAAGCGATCCTCCCACCTCAGCCTCCCAAGAAACTGGGACTACAGATGCAGGACACCATGCCCCACTAAATTTTGAATTTTTTGTAAAGATGGGGTTTCACCATGTTGGCCAGGCTGGTCTTGAACTCCTGGTCTCAAACGATCCACCTACCCTGGCCTCCCAAAGTTCTGGGATTACAGGCATGAACCACCACACCCAGCCAGCAAATGTTTCATTTTTTAAAAAAGGATTCTCCCCTTCCCCCGAAATAAATAAAAATTAGAAATGATTCTGTGGCCAAATAAGTTAGAGAAAAAACATATCTTTAAACTTCTTCTTAGATTAATATATAAAGACTCCAAGAAAGCCTATAGTATATAAACTGTGTTTAGGCCAGTCTTTCCCAAATGTATTTAATCACATAAATCATTTAATGCATAAACAGTATTTTGCAGATTACAGTTTGGGAAATTCTCCCCTAAGTTTTTGGTATAGTTGCTGCCCTTGCCCTTCCTACAATATCCTCCTGCTCCACTTGATAGTAATAGCTTTACTGTATTTTTTTTTTTTTTTTTTGAGATGGAGTTTCACTCTTGTTGCCCAGGCTGGAGTGCAATGGCACGATCTCAGCTCACTGCAACCTCCACCTTTCAGATTCAAGAGATTCTCCTGCCTCAGCCTCCCGAGTAACTGGGATTACAGGCATGCGCCACCACGCCCGGCTAATTTTGTATTTTTAGTAGAGGTGGGGTTTCTCCATGTTGATCAGGCCAGTCTCTAACTCCTGACCTCAGGTGATCTGCCTGCCTTAGCCTCCCAAAGTGCTGGGATTACAGGCGTGAGCCACCATGCCTGGCCTATGGTATATTTTAAACCATAAAATATTTTAAAACTTTAGAAATATTCAGGTTGTAAGTGCTAAATCAAACTATATAAATATTGACCGTTTCAATTTATAAAGTGTTTAACACATTTTCCTCGTTGATACTCATAACTGCTCTGTAAAATGGGAAAGGAATCTATTATTATACCCATTTTACATAAGGGGAAGAGGGAACCGACCTAAAGCTACTCAGTTAATGAACAGTACAGCCAGGACCAGAAAAAGGTCTCTCAAGCAGGCTTCCTTCTACTTTTCTGGCTCCCTTACTACTTGAATAACAAGGACTCTTAGCAAGCTGGAACTTTATCTGATGCCTACTCAAATCGTGCATAGAATTAGCATCACAACCATGGCTCAGAATATGGGCTGTGGGCCCAGACTGCTGAGTTCAAATTCTGACTCCAACTCACCAGCTGTGTGACCTGGGCAAGTTATTTGATCTTTCTACTAATCTATTAGGCCTTATTACCCCCATCTGTAAAATGGAGACACCAGCAGCGCCTACTCAGAGGGTTGATGTGAGTCTCAAATCAGGCAATAGGCAATGGGTGTGGGCAGCCTTGAATATAGCAAGTGCTCGATAACGATGTTGGCTATTATGTGAGTTCAGAGTTGAATATAACGTGAAAAGGTTGGCCGAGTGAGGGGGACCGTGAAAACAATTATAATCATTGTGACAAGACTGGAGCAGACAGGCTGGGATCACTGGCAGCCGGGTGATGCCGCTGCCTGGGCACATGGACATGGGGCTCTCTGTCCAGGAGGGTGTCCCTCTCTGCCTTTTATCTGCAGCCTGCCTGTCTCTCCACTCTCAGCCCCAATGGACCCTCTCTAAGGGGCAGGGGCTGGGCCAGACTCCCAGGTGAATTGTGAAACCCTCCCCAGGCCCCTGAGGCATGAAGGTCTTTCTCCTCATCCACCTCCCCCTGGCTGTGGCTCTCAGTGAATCCCCACAATCCTATACCCGGAGGGCAGCGCCAGTCCAGACCTCCTACCCACCAGAGCAGGCACTGGCAGCGAGATAGGGTTGGAGGAGAAGTAGCGCCGGGACTTCCGGATGGCAAACTTCTCTGTGGGTAGAGATTTCCCAGCAATCTTGAGCTTCAGGCCTGGCACAGCTCTGCGAAAGAGATGGGGAGGGTGGGAGAGGATGAAAAAGAGCAGGAGAGGGCAGAGGGTCCCCAGCCTACCCAGCTATGCTTGGCGCCTCTCTGGGCCTCAGTTTCCCCATCTGCACAATGACAGTGTTAGACTCTAAAGAGCCTTCTAGGTCTGAAATAGCCTGCGGCTATAATTTTAGAGACCCTGCCCCAAGACCTGGCCACTTCCTATGGCTGGGCAAGGGGTTCCTCCCCGCCAGCTGGCAGAGATGAGAGTGTGCCAAACACCCCTGGGCCGGCCCTGCCTCCTAGTTATCGCCTCCACTCCCAGGCTCCATTTCTGGGGAGGATCCAAGAGAAGTTTAACCCCAATTTCACAGGAGAGACCAACACTCGGAGAAAGGGTGGGACCTACCCAAGACCAAACAGCTCAAACCCTTAATTAACTCTTGCCTCGCGAGTTCTGGCCTTCTCAGCTGTTTCCAAGGGCAGAGCAAAATGCGGTATGCCACCAGGCACGCCCCCACATCTGGGGCCTCACCCACCAGCTCCATCCCACCCTCCTCCTATTTCTGCCACAGTCACCGGGTGTGGCTGTGACCTCAGGCCTGAGCCATTTAGGCTCAGGGAACAGCTGGATGTGGGTGTGAGGTCCCCCCAAACTCTTCCTTTGCTTATTCACTGTAGAACCTCTCTTGGCCTTAATTTCCTCATCTCTAAAATGGAGGTAATGACACCTGCCCTCCTAGGCTTTCTGGAAGAGTCATCTGAGAGGGGGACATGGAGTCTGCTGTAGTAGCAGACACTCTGTAAGTGATAAATGCCCTATTATTGTGACAACAGTAGCCTAGGAGGCTCATATTATACCCATTTCTGGGTCTGCAAATTGGGCTCAACCTCACCAAGACTGGAGGAAGGCTCTAAGCTCCATCCTCCACCTGCCAAGGCTGAGCTCTGCTCTAAAGACACTTCATAGGAAGCAAACACGGTGGTACAGGTAAGAATGAAAACAGCCACCACTTAGTGGGCAGCTTCTAGGCTCCTAGTTCTATGCGCCAGGCTCTTAACATTTATTATCTAGTTGATTTGCAAAACAGTGCTGCGAGGTGGAGGTTGTTGTTCCCATTTTACAGATGCTGAAGTTGTCCAAGGTGACACAGCTAAGAACAAGCAGAGGCTGGGTTTACTCTTGTTTGTTCGATTCCGACTGTCAGCTCTCTACTGTGCTTCTCTGAGTGTCTCAGGTTAACTCAGCAGAGTGAAAGACCTTCCCTCCCTGGACCTTGGAGCCACATCTGTCCTACTGTCCACATGAAAGAGACTCGGAGGAAGACGATATTAGCAAAACCATTTCTGTGAAAGAAAGCCTCTGAAGAAAGTCAAAGGGCTCCAACCACCAGCAGCAGCAGCATGGGGTGGTGATGGGAGGGGAGGACACGCAGGGGGGGCAGTCCGCGGGTGGGGGCAGGGAGCCACCCTACTCCTCCCTCCCCAGTGCCCACAGCTCAGGGTGGCCTGGCTGGTCTGTCCATAGCGGCCTACACGGTGGGAGTGGCCTACACAGTGGGAGCACGATGTGGGACCCACCGAAATAATTCCACTTCGTCGTCCCCGAACGGCTTGTGGTCCTCCTTCCCAAACATGCTGAGGTAGGCGGCCTTCATGTAAATGTAGGTGGCCTGTGCGAGACAGAGCAACAGCCAGGTGTGAGCAGCCCTCCTCCAGCCCCAGCCGGGCTGGAATCTGCAGACGGACCTCACGTGGCCCAGCACAGGAGCTCCCGTTGTCTCCAAGCCCCAGGGGAGAAATGAAGGTAAGAAGCTGAAGCAACTTGAAGACCTGAATCCAGGACAACCCATGTCAAAGCAGCCACCTTCTTCTCCACTTGAAGCAGTGGCAAGAAGAACCCATGCAACTAGTAATAGGCAGGACAGACTGGGGCTGCGGCAGAGACACAAGGACAGGGGCGCACTCGGGGCTTCCGGGAAGCAACAGCTTCACAGTGGGCCCCTGAAGGGCAATGGGGAAATTCCCTGAGGCCCCAGACAGGCCTTCCAGCCAGGAGGAAGAGGCTGAGCAAAGCCAGGAGGTGGCAGGATGTGTGTGGACTACCAATAGGAGGATGAAGCACGGGCTGTAAAAAGAAGAGGCTTGAGCCAGAAACGTGAGCAGGGCCTGGGTCGGGTCAGCTCGGGCCACCCTGGTAGAACTAACTGCCTTGCTGTGTGTGCCAGGCACACCACATCCAGCACCTCGCTTGATCCCAAAGCCAATGCCAGAAAGGAGTCCGTACCCCACCTCTGCTTCCTGGGACCCCAGAGCTACTGGGGCAGAGCCGGGAGTCAACCCCAGCACCTTGCCCACTAAATGCACAGCCAGCCCTGACAGGGAAACCGTGGCCCTGCGGGAGACCCCCTACCCCACCCAGTCCTCCCTGCACACCACGCCCCTTCCTCAGAAGTCCTGAGACAGGAGCCTGGCTCTGTGCTGCCCTCAAGTGGCCAAGCCCCGAACCACAGCTCCTGCCTCCTGGCTAAGAAAGGGTGGAAAGGAAAAGGCGCCGGACATCCGGGAGTCCTGCCTAAAGCAGGCGGAAAGCGGCCTCCACCTGGCAGCCCCACCCATGCCGGGGCCTCAGCCCGCCCTTCACAACATGAGGGAAAGCTGGTCTTCGTGGGCCACGGCGGGAAGAGTCTCCCTCCCTGAAATCTGTTCCCGGTCCCATCTTTTTTTTTTTTTGATGTGGTCTCGCTCTGTCGCCCAGGCTAAGGCTGGAGTGCTATGGCGCGATCTCGGCTCACTGCAACCTCCGCCTCCCAGGTTCAAGCGATTCTTGTTGCCTCAGCCTCCTGAATAGCTGGGACTGCAGGCATGCACCACCACGCCAGGCTAATTTTTGTATATTTTAGTAGAGACGGGGTTTCACCATGTTGGCCAGGCTGGTTTCAAACTCCTGACCTCAAGCTATCCGCCCGCCTCAGCCTCCCAAAGTGCTAGGATTACAGGCATGAGCCACTGCGTCTGGCCCCGGTCCCATCTTTAACCTCCCGGGTCACCCTTGTCCTCTCCCTTTCCCCTGCCCCTGACGTGGAGACACCAAGTCCCGGTGACTTTACCTCCCGTCTCACTCTAGGATCCTGCTGGCCTTGCCCTACGGCTCTCATTATCGGACTGCCACCATCTCCACACCGTCTCCCTGTTCCAGGCTACCCGGGATGTCTTTCTGCTGTCCTGGTACACATTGTCTCCTATCTCCCTGCTCCCACTCCTGTCCCCTGCAAGCCATTTCGCACACTGACCTTTTTAAGTCAGATCATGTCAGTTCCTTCTGGAAATCTGGTTATATTCCATCACACTCAGGAGACATCTCCTACAATTTCCTTGACACCTGCAGCACTCCAGCCACACGACGGCCTCAGGGCGGTTCCCAGGACACATCAAACACACTCCTGCCCTGCTGTGCCCTGCCCAGCTCCCTCTGCCCTAACGGCCTGCCATGTGACTGCCACGTGCTGCTCCTGCGCTCCATTCTGGTGTCCTCTGAGACAGGCTTCCCCCGACCTCCCCTTACAAAGCCCCTCCCATCACTCCCTGCATCCAGCCTCGCTTGTTCTTCACTGCACTTACTGGAACCAGACATCGTGTTATATTGCCCATCTGTGTTTCTTGTCTCCCCACTAGGACGTGAGCCTTGAGGGGGTCTTTTCCTGCTCATGCTTGTATTTCCTGCCTTAGAACAGGACCCAGCCAGCGGGGTGGCCCAGCAACTGCTGGTGGGCTTTCTAAAGCACCTATCTAAGCCACAAGCCTGCCAAGGCTCCCCCACTGCTGGATAAAGCCCAAACAGCCACTCATGTCCTCCAGGACCTGCCCTAACCTTTCTTTTTCTGGCTCATCTTCTGCCATTTCCTCCCCTACACTCCTTAAACTCTCCCCAGGCCTCTGCCTGTGCTGCTCCTCGGCCCGGGATGCCATTATCCCTTCACCAGGCTCATCTCCAAGAGTCTTCCCTCCTGCCCACAGACAGCTCACCCTCACTGCACCACCAGGGTTAGGATGGGGGCTGTGACTTAGAGTTGTGGACGCCCCAGCTCTCCAGGGATGTACAGGGGCTATGCTGGGACAAAAGAGCAGCTGTCACCCCTGATGCAAGCCCCCTGCCCTTCTGCCACACAAACTCTTCACCCTGTGGCACACAGCCCCTCTGCAGCGCCCTGGCTTCTGAGCCTTTGGTCCTGCCGCCCTCTTGGCTTGGGGTGTCCTCTCACTTCCTCCACTCTGCCTCCCTAAGTCCTTCCTCTCCAAGACCCACCTCAGAGGTCTCTCCTCAGAAGCCTTCCTGTCCTCTTTGGTTGCCTGGGCATGCCTTTAGCTCCTTGGGTTTCCCAAGCCCTGAGCACGCCACTGTCACCACCTTGTTTCTGGCCATCTCAGCCTCTAGGCTGCCAGCACTGGGGGAAACACAAAGGCCTCCACAGGGCTGACTGCAGGAGATAGGTCAGGGTGGTGAGAAAAATTACAGAAAGAAGCAAACCTTGGAAGGCTCGGAGGTTTTGCAAAAGCTTCGGGAAAGGATTTGGCTGAAGGCAGCTGAATTCTCTCAGAGTAGATAACAAGAAGTAAGGGAATTGATCTAGATAAGTTGGTTTACTTAGGCCTCGGAACCTGGCCTTTAATCATCATGCGGAGGACTGCTCTTTCTGGGGGGGCGACAATGTTAATTACCCACAAATGGAGTTTGCTTTAGGCCTTTGTCATTACATCTGTACTAAATAAATGCAAGCGTGGCAGGCTTATGGGGGCCGCTGCTGACTCTGGCAGGGGTCCCCCATCTGCTGACAGGCAAGCCTGTGTCTGCATACTCCGTTCATCCGTCGCTCAGCCAGGGTCTGCGGGTCAGACCCAGCAGCTGACCTCGGAGGATCCTGGCAGAGGGGGGCGCTGCCTGCACAGAGCAGGTGGTGCCTATGGCAATGGCCAGAGGCCCAGGCCCCAGGACTAGAAGTTGGTGGAGTCTGTGGTGGCCAAGTTCTGGAGATTAGAAATGGGTGGGGCCCCAGAACTCAGAGGGTTACAACCCCCATTTTTCACAGAAGTCCTCATGAGGAGAGTGTTGCAGAGAGAGAGGGACTGGCCACCCCAAAGCCACACAGCGGTCTGGGGACTGAGCCAGATTTCCTGACAGCTGGGAGGCCTGGCCCACCTTCTGTTCCTCTATATAGCAGCTGTGTGCCCCCACCAGGTCTCTCCTTCCCCATATGGTTAGCCCCAGCCACCCACCTCACTCTACAGGAAGGCTTCGAGAGTCACTTTCAGTTCAAAAAGGTTCCCTAAGGCCCAGAATCCCAGCACTTTAGGAGGCAGAGGTGGGAAGATTGCTTGGGCCCAGGAGTTCAAGACTAGCCTGACCAACATAGCAAGACCCTGTCTCTAAAAAAAGAAAAAAGGTTCCCTGAGGCTTTGTCCTTTTTGGGAGTAGGAGGTGATGAGGAGGGGGTGTGGGGGCCATGGGAGCTGGGCCTGAGGAAGCACCTTCAACAGCAGGGTGGGCTCAGGGCAAGCCCCGACTCCTCAGGAGGACTCTAGGAGCAAGAGAGAAGCAGAGGCCTCTGAGTCACACAGGACTGTCCTCAAATCCGGTGTCTGTCACCAACAGCCATGTGGGTGGGAAAGTCACAGTCCTCGCTTAGCATCAGTGGCCCTCATGTGCCCAATGGAGATAATAACTTCTCCTCACTGGGTGTGGTGTGGAGGACATGACAGGTGCCAGACATGTTGAGAGCTCAGTAGAAGCCTGCTCCCTTCCCCAGCCCCACCTGCCCCAGACCCAGAGAATTCCCCTTCAGCTTGGTCCCCAGGCAGGGCTACGGAAGAGACCTCCATGCAGAGGAGGGGGAGGGACCAGATGCAGATGACAGGTCTCCTAACAGGTGCCAATGTGGGTCAGTTCTAACGGCTGCCTGGAGCTTTGCAGGGAAGGTATCTAAGGTCACAGCTAGGCTCATGGCAGAGGATTGATTAGCAATGTCTGCTATGGGCAGGGGATGAAGCCATGAAGACACATGTCCTGTGTATTTACAAATAACAGATTAGACGTTTGCTGAGCTAGGTGGTTGTAAGACTCTTGGTTCCAATTTCTGCACTATCATTACTATGATGGTACAAGCTAACACTTATTTCAATACTTACCATGATAAATTTCATCTTTGGTAGGCGGGCATCTGTTTGGCTTTGTTTTGCCTGTATGGCATCTTGTTAATCCCTCCACTATTTCTGGGTGCATCATTTTCTTCTGTGGAACCACCCCTCTCCTACTCTCAGCCCATGAGGAATCTTCCCACCCCTCTGTTCCAGGCATTGGCAGGTGACAAGTCAGACCAGTGAGGCTCAAACTGTGGGACTCTGGTTGAAACCAAGGGGAGGATATGAGTAGAAGCAGCCCGTGGCCACCTTGCCTGTCACATGGAGAGAACCTTCCTGCAAAGATGCAGCAGAAACAAAGATGTCATAGGAGAGAGCACAGCCACAAATGGAAAGACCAAGCCAGACGACATCATTTGAATTCCTGGATCCAGCCCTACCTGAAGTCGGATGTGCCAAGAATGTTCAGTTATATGAGCCTTTTGTGTTTTGGACCTGCATAGTCCAATATAGTGGCCACAAGCCCTACATGGCTATTTAAATTTAACATTTAGTTAATTAAAATTAAATAAAACTGAAAACAATCAGTTTCCCAGTTGCACTAGGCACATTTCATGTGCTCATTGTGCACATGTGGCTGGTGACTACCATATTTGGGCAGTGCATAAGTAGAACATTTCTACCACAGAAACAGTTCTACTGGACAGAGGGAGCCATGTTTCTGTCCTTTGTGACTAGAAATCTCTTTGTGACACATTGTGGTTCAGAAGTTTCTCTTGTGGTCTTTAGTTCCTTCCAAGCCTGAGTCCTATTAGAATTTAAGGTTATGTTTAGATTCCAGCTGAGACATCTGTGTTCAGTTAGGGATTTGGCCCGTGGTCTGGAGGCACACAGTCAGCCCTGGTCACCCAATGCCCCTAACACGTGGCATCAGCCCACCTTGGACCAGCAGTTCTCCTTGCTGAGCAGGTCGGCGTAGAAGTAGGACATCTTCCACTGGCCCTTGTAGGTGAAGCACCACATCAGCTCCCAGTAGCACATGTGGTGGAACTGCTTCCAGTGCTGCTGGGCCTCACAGCACTCCTCGAAACGCCGGATGGCCTGCAGGCACCTTCTGGTCAGCCTGACGGGTGCCCACCCAGCCCCAACCCCTCTGCATCCTCCGAACCTCCCAACACCACAGCAGACCGGGACTCCTCCAGGGCATAGTGGTCCAGCCCTGTGCTAGGCTCAGGTGGGGCCCCAGGAGCCAGGAGATCTGGCCTCCAGTCCTGGTTTTACCTCCTAAGTCTTACATGACGTTGGGCTCAAATACAGCCCCCGCCTAGGACTCTGGTTTTTAGTAACAAAATGAAAGAGCAGGAGAGAGCTATAATGGAGGGGAGGTACCAGACTCCAGCCTAATCGTCATGCCCTAAACAGATGGGCTTTCCTAACCTCTGCCTCCCTCAAGCACCTCCCTCCACCTCCCTCCACTGCAATGCTGCAGTCCTATATCTCCCAGTCAAAATCCCAGGCACCACAAATGCCTCCTCCTCCCTTGTCTTCCCAGGCTGCTCTGCCAGAAGGGCCTCTCCTGCCCCTGCTCTCTGGTTGGTTCTCTCTTGGCCCCCCCCCCGCCCCCAGTCTATCCTGTCCCTGAGTATGTCACATGTGCCTGACTTCCTGCTGGTCTGGGAGACCCCGAGGGATCCCCAGCCCCGGCCCGGACCCCCATCACTCACTGCATCAATGTTGCCTTTAATGACTTCAATCCTCCCTGCAAAGAACAGGAAGATGGCACCCTGCAATGACACACATGTAAGTCCGTGTGGGTCCGTGGGGTCTGTGGGTGTTTGTGGGCTGGGGGTACCGGGCAGCACATGGGGCTCACCTTAGGGTACCGGTTCAGGTAGGGCTTCAAGAGCTTCTCGGCCTCCTCGATGTTGACGTTCCCAGTACCTGGAGGAGATGGTGGGGGAGACACAGAACATGTCACCACCCCTGGCTCCTGTGATCCTGCCAGCAACCCAGCAGGGGCTTCCCAGGGTCTCCCCCTCCCCCTCTGTGAAATCGAGATAATTCTCCCTGTCCCTAGGGTGACATGAGGATTAAATAAGGCAGGGCAGATATCGCCCCCAGCACTTCACAGGGCTCGATAACCAGGAGCCTGCATCCACCAAGGCTGTGCCCAGAACCATAAGGTGCTGTACACAGTGTCTTCACACCCTCTACAGGGTGGGCACAACCACCCCCATTTCACAGATGAGAAAACTGAGGCTGGAACCCAGTCACACTGTGAGGCAGTGGGCGTCAGCAGGCCAGTCCCCAGGACAGTGGATGTGGCTCTGTTTCTGGTTTCAGTACCCCTATCCCTAGCCACAGGGCATGAACAGGGTCTGTAGCCCCTCGTTCTCCTTCCCCCTTGGAGACGACCAAACCCCAGGGCCCCAGGTCCCCCTGTACACCTACCGAGCACGAAGGTGAGGAAGGTGTGGTAGCACAGCAGGAGCATGACACAGAGCACAGAGCGGAAGCTGTGCCCTGACGCTCCCTCCTCCAGCTGCAGCAGCCCATAGTCCTGAGGGGATGGGAGGGTGGGTGAGGCTCCCAGAGAGGGCAGGGGCCTGGGAGGCAGCTGGACAGCTGTGTGGGCAGTGCTGCCGGCACAGGGGCGGAAGAGCACTGGAACCCTGGGGGCCAGGTCAGCTGTGTGGCCCTGAGCAAGTGGCTGCCCCTCAGTGCCCCAGCACATTCCTGGGAGAAGGGGACACGGCTGCCAAGGCCAGGACAAAGGCTTGGCGGGTCTGAGGTGTCCCCCACCTTCTCCACAGCCCCTTCCCCAGCCTCCCTGTAGTCACGGGCTTGGCCGCCCTGCGATGGGTATTGAGGGCCCAAGGTCTGGTTGGGAGCAGGAGAGACACGGAGGTGGATGATCCCAGCCATGGGCTCAGGGCATAGGTGGGGCCTGGGAAGGCTTCCTGGGGGAGAAGCCTCCAGAGCCTGGCTGGGGAGGGGCTGGGGGCAGACCCCCCACCTTGTTTCCCTGCCTGCAGTCTCTGCCCCTCTGTCTGTCCTCCAGAGCATTCTTGTTCTTTCTAAAACACAAATCTGACCTGCCTCACTCCTGCCTCAAACCCTCCATGGCTCCCCTGCCTTCGAGATAAAGAGGAAGCCCAGGCTGGCACAGTAGGTCCCGCAACCCTCCTGGCCAGGCCACACTGCCTCACCTCTGGGTCCTCCCTTCATCCTGAAATCCTACTCATGACCCATGCGCTTTCTTAAGGAAACAAAACTGAAAGAGACCTTCACAGCCTCTAGCCAATGTTTTCCAAAGCTCGGGCAGCAGATAGCAGCTAAGATTTCAGGGGTCCATGGGCAGATGCCAGGAAACACTGAGTCACGGTGAGGGTTTTCCCTTCTGTTATCTTTCTATCCTTTGGTGGTGCCCAGGAGAAATCCCCAGTCCTTTGCTCGTGGGGTTTGAACTCTCTCACCCTAAGCCCGCTTTCTCAGAAAGAGGAAGCCTGGCTGAGCCTGGGCTACACAGTCTAGCTGGGCTTTCCAAAAGATGGCTGGGCCCTCGTGGTATTTATTTTTATGATTATGTTCTTATCATGCCAAATAATATGGAGGTTTGTGTAGAGATGTTTCCTTTAAATCAATTTCAGTAAAAGTCATGAGTCACTTTTGAGAAAAGTAATATATAAATTATAATAGAGAGGTCCGTGGGTGTGGCAAATATCAGTAAGGGCCAGTGCACGTTTGAGAAACATTTATCTGGTCCATTAACAAGGCCCTTATTTTACTAAAAAGAGGCTCAAAGAAGAGAGGGACTTGCTCAGAGTCACAGAGAAAAGGGGATGAGGCTGGACTGACCCAGAGCTCCTAACTTCCAGGCCAGTGCTCCTTCTACCACACTAGGCCTCCTCCACCAGAAAGCCCTCCCTGATCTGCTGCCTTCAACCTGGGGTTGGTACTCAGGTTCTTGCCCTCAGTAAAGTCTTTGGGTGCTTGAGTTCTCTGGTTCCTCCTCAAGGTCTGATGCCCAGTAGGGCTTCCCTCAGGCATCTGCTGGATGAAGTGGTAGCACCAGAAAATGGTCCTTGGGGGAAGGACTTACTCAAAGTCTTAAAGTGAGGCAGTATCTAGGGAGAGAGGGACCAGCCCCTGACACCTGTCAGGCTCAGAGAATGTGTGATCCTGGGCCACTGATGGAGCTGCCCTTCACACCCACACCCACCCAGAGCCTCTGCACCCTGGGAGGGCCAGGCAGGGATCACTAGCCCCATTTGTCCAGAGAGAAGACTGAGGCCCAGGGAGGTCTGGGCATTGTCCAGGGCCATACAATGAGAGGGGCTGAGCCAGGATGGGCTCCTAGGCCCTGTGGCCTGTCAGCCCCACCCTGTGCAGCCCAGCCCCAGTTCTGGGGCTGAGCAGGTCAGGGGTGCTAGGAGGCAGGTGGTTACCTTGTTTCCTGAAAACCCCACAAACTCCAACAGCCTCAGGATCCTAGTAGGAAGCATGGACAGTGTCTGCAAGAAAGGAGGCAATCAAGCCTGTGAAGGTACCCAGAGTGGGCAGGGGCCACCCCCACTGTCCCAAGTCTAGCTCTTTAACAGGCTTTACCTGGAGGGGAGAGGGCCACCCCTCTAACTTTGAAAGCCTCTAGCCAATGTTTTCCAAAGCTCGGGCAGTAGATGGCAGCTAAGATATCAGGGGTCCATGGGCAGGTGCCAGGAAGCCTAGCCAGGAAACCCCTGGCCACCTAGGTTCCTGAGGCTAAATCTTCCCTGGGAAGCTCCTCCTCCCTTGATCAGGCAGTTTTCCCAGCCTTCCTGCTCCCTCTGCCTGGAAGCCCCTCCCCAGCTGGGAAACTCCTAGGGATCCTTCAGGAGCCAGCACAGATGCTCACCCCCTCCCGTAGGAAACCTTCCCCCACTCCATGCAGGAACAAGACTTAGTTCTCTGTCCCCTCTAAGTCATCAGCTGGTTTCAGGACTGTCTCCTTCCCTGACACTGGTAAATGTTTAACCAGCAGCTCTCCAGGGCAGAGAAAGCCCTGATTTATTGTGTGTGCCAAGGTCGGGTGCTGTGAAGGTTCCACCATGGTGGATTTCAAGCTACTGGCCTGACTTGGGAAGAAATGCACCGATGGACTCTGGAGCTGGCTCCAGCGCCCACACCACCCCCACCCCAGCTGTGAGCCCCTGAAGGCTGGCCACATGTCTGGTCACCTCTGGATCCTGGTGCCCAGCACACAGCCAGGTGCAGGGGCACTTGGCAGTGACCACACATGAGTCAGGGACAGAAGGGGAGACTGAGCTCAAGCCAGGTGCTGTGGAAATGGAGGAGGAGCACTCACCAGGTTGAAGGCCCCTACACCAAGCTTCACTCCTCCTTCAAAGTGCGGGTGGTTCTCACCCTTGCAGTATTGTGAGGACTGAACAAGGCTGTCCAGCTCCCTGCAGAGAGATGCCAAGTCCTGTTTCAGCCACTGCTGGGGGTGGGGGGTAGGGGCTGGGACCCCTTCCAGCTGGGCCTCAGGTAAACTCCCTGGTGGTGGATTCATACAGTTCTGGTAATCCTGAGAGCTGGTATTTGAGGAATTTCGAACCCCATCTCCCACCATGATAACACACTCCTCACCCCCTGAATTTCAGCCGTATGGGCCCTGGCACACTCAGCCATGGGCAGCTTCTGGACATTTGTTCGTATTCCACATCCTATCTAAAAGAGGTTTTCTCAGCCTCCGCGCTACTGACATTTTGGGCTGGATAATTCTTTGTTGGTGGGGGTGGCAGGGGAGCTGTTCTGTGCATTGTAGGATGTTTAGCAGCATCCATGGCCCCTGAGCACCAGATGCCAGTAGCATCGTCTCCCTAGCTGGACATCCAGAATGTCTCCAGACACTGCCAAAAGTCTCACAGGGGGAAGTCACCCCTAGCTGAAAACCACTGGGCTAACCAAAACACCTCCTCCTTCAGGAAGTCTTCCTGGAGTCTCCTGGTTGGAATTCAACTCTATTTCTCCTGGTTACCAACTGCACAGAGCCCCTAGCCCAGCCACCTGGGGCAGGACAGAGGCTTTTAATGATGTGTCTGCCTCCTTCCTGGGCTGACAGCATTTTGAAGGCTTTCAATTAGCAAGCTTGAAGCTTCTCTGTGCCAGGCACTGGAAGACAGCAGGGACCAAAACCACCAAGCCATTGCCCCCACAGCATTCTCACTTTAAGGGACAGACCCCCCCCCCCCGCCCCCCGATTGAGTCACTATGAGGGTGATGACAGGCTCCAAGGAGAAGAGTCCTTGGGCCTGACTTAGTCTGGGGATAGGAAAGGCTTCCCTGAGGAGGTGACATTTGAGCTGAAATCTGGTACAGAAAGCCCGGTGCAGAAAGTGTTTCTGACAGAGAGAACAGCACGTCCAAAGGCCCTGAGGTCGGAACCACCTTGGCATATTTGAAGAACTGGGGGAAGGCCCAATGACCTAAGGCAGAGTGAAGTGGGAGATGTGGCAAGAAGGGCCAGGGTGACCTCCCAGGAAGAACTTGGCAATAACCCAGGACTTCTTTTAAGAGCAAGAGGAGCCTTGGGAGTTGGCAAGGGGTGGCCTGACAAGGTGTGTGCTTTGGTGACCTCGTTCTGGCAGCTGGTAGGGAGGCTGACGGGGCCAGAGCACTTGTCTGGTTTTTCTAGAAAAATTCTAGCATAGGCCTCCAAGGTAACATGATGTCCACATGCTATATGGTACATTATACCCTAGCAATACCTTGTAACAAGCTCACAATATCCCTGCAGGGAAGCAGCCACATTAAATGGGGAGATAAAGATGATAAATAGGCCAGGCGTGGTGGCTCACGCCTGTAATCCCAGCACTTTGGGAGGCCGAGGCAGGCAGATCACCTGAGGTCAGGAGTTCGAGACCAGCCTGGCCAATGTGGTGAAACCCCATCTCTACTAAAAATACAAAAAATTAGCCAGGTGGGGTGGCGTATGTCTGTGGTCCCAGCCACTCGGGAGGCTGAGGCAGAAGAATCGCTTGAATCTGGGAGGCAGAGGTTGCAATGAGCTGAGACTATGCCACTGCACTCCAGCCTGGGCGACAGAGCAAGACTCTGTCTCAAAAAAAAAAAAAAAAAAAAGACTTTTTTACTTTTCCTCTTTTTTTCATTTTGTTTTTACTGTGATAAATATACATATCATGAAATTTAACATCTTAACCAATTTTAAGTGTACAATTCAGTGGTATTAACTACATTTACATTATTATGCAACTATCCCCAATATCCATCGCCATGAATTCTTTTCCTCCTGTAAAAGTAAAACTTTATTCTCTGTCTTTTGGTCTACAGCTTCATATCTATCCTTAGCCCCCTTTGCCATGTTATTCCTCTATCTCTCCTGCCTGATGGAAAAAGCATGAAGTAAATTATCTGCCTTCTCTGTGGTGCATGTGGACTACTGAGCAGGTGTAGTAAGATTGCTGTCACTGTAAATTTATCATCACCAGCTTCAGCTGGGCTTCTCCGTACTGCCAGTCACTCTTGTGCTGTTTCCATAGTGATTTCTCCATAATCCTCTTCATATTTCAAACCTTATCTACTCTCTATAAACCTCTTGCCGCCACCCCCCCTTTTTTTTTTTTGAGATGACGTCTCGCTCTGTCACCCAGGCTGGAGTGCAGTGGCACGATATCAGCTCACTGCAACCTCCGCCTCCCTGGTTCAAGCGATTCTCCTGCCTGAGCCTCCCAAGTAGCTGGGATTACAGGTGCCTGCCACCACGCCCTGCTAATTTTTGTATTTTTAGTAGAGACAGGGTTTCACCAGGTTGGTCAGGCTGGTCTCGAACTCCTGGCCTCAGGTGATCCACCTGCCTCGGCCTCCCAAAGTGCTGGGATTACAGGCTTGAGCCACAGTGCCCAGCCTCAAATCAACTTTTAATGGAAATAAGTTTTAATGCAAAACTTGGTGAGTGGGGGACTGGATTTTCAGAGCTTTTGTTGCTGTGGGAACCATAGATAAGGGATTATGGAGCCATGTTGGGTAAAAATGTTCCAAACGGAATCTTCATTCATAAACACGGCCTGTGCCTGGGCCAGTTTGAATGTCAAGGATCCAGAGATAGCATGGAAATGATTTTGGCCTGCAGAGAGCACGTGCATGCACGTGTGTGTGTATGTGTGTGTGTGTGCGTGCATGTGTGCATGTGCATGTGTGTGTATGTATACCTTTCCTGTATACTAGAGGGGTTAAAGAGGGCTTCATGGGGAAAGTGGCATTTGGACTGGGCCTTAACAGATGTGTAGGAGTTCTGCTGCTGTTCCCAAAATGGCTGTTCCTGTGGCTGTCTCCCTGCCCCCACCAGAACACCCTGTGCAGAATCTGTGTCTTATTTTCCCCAGCAGGGGCCAGGCACGGAGTAGGCACTCAAGGGACCAAAGGGAAGAGACACAGCCAGAAAGCCAGAGGAATATGATTCCAGGAGACTGAGGTCCTGAGGGCATGGAAATCAGCCTGCAACAGCAGTCTACTAGGTTCTGGCCTCGGTTAGTACTCTTCTTCTCCCACAAAGCCGCCTGAGGGGGACAGCCTAGCAGATGCTGTGGCCCAGGGTCTCCCCACAAGCGGATGGCCAGCCCCACTCACTTGTAGGTCTGGTAGCTGTTTCGAACTTTGATGCCGCCTTTGATGAAGCTCACCATGTTCTCGTCCTGCAGGAGGAAAAGATGCTGACGGCCTGGCCCAGGTGGGCAGCTGCAGGCGTGAGAGGGATCATGCAAGGCTCTGGGCCTGACTGCCCCTCCGTGTGAGGAACCCTGGGGGGATGAGGTCGGAGGTCAGCCAAACCAGGCCTCCCTGCTCTTTGGCCCAACAAAACCTCTAAAATGCCCAGGGTTGGACCAGCCTCCCAGGTACACATACTCTGTGCTTGGAGAGAGGCCTGGAGGGGCCACGCCCAGTGATTAACAGTATCTCCCTCTAGGTGGAGGGACTGCGAGAAAGGAGGGGGGATGCTTGTTTTTGGATTATTTGTGGTTTTTACAACAAGCAGGTATTTATCACATTTATAAATGTAAAGCTCTGTTGCCTACAGCCAGCCAGCAGCTCTATTCACTGTGTACACCCAACGGAAACGGATGGACAAGGGTTGTGGAAGTTCATGATAGCCAAGAAACAGAAACAGCCCAAATGGCCACCAGCAGAAGGACAGATAAACAAACTGCGGTGTGTTCATGCAAGGGAATAACACACAGGCCAGGTGAAGAAAGCAAGCAACATAGTCACATAAGGCTGGGTGAAGAAAGCAAGACCCACACCACTTAGGAAGCTCAAAACCAACGGAAATATCACAATATGCTGTTCAGACATGAGTACAAAGCTGAGAAAGCTATTTAAAAAAAAAATAGAGTAGGGCCAAGGTGGGCGCATCACTTGAGGTCAGGAGTTTGAGACCAGCCTGGCCAACGTGGTGAAACCCCCATCTCTACTAAAAATACAAAAATACAAAAATTAGCTGGAGGCTGAGGCAGGAAAATCGCTTGAACCCAGGAGGCGGAGGTTGCAGTGAGCCAAGATCACACCACTGCACTCCGGCCTGGGCGACAGAGCAAGACTCCGTCTCAACAACAACAACAACAAAAAAGGGTAGGGGACAATAAACATAATACTCTAGGTAGTGATTCCCCTGTTGGGTACATGGACAGGGTGAGGAGGAGCCCCAGGGTGAGGAGAGTTATTGCCAGTGTTCTGTCCTCCAGTCGGGTGTGGTGTTGGTGGGTGTTCATTATTTGTAAAAATTTAATAAATAAAACAAAATTTCATTTATGGTGCAATCATTACAGTGAATCCTAAAGCAAGGACTAGGATTAATCCAATTCTCATCTCTCCAGGTCAAAAAGATAGAAAAAAAGCTATGAAATTAACCAGCACCCCAACACTAAAATGCATATGTCCCTCTCCTGCTAAATACACATATATAATGATGATAATATGTTCTCATTATAACCCAGGCTTTCAGGCAAAAGCATGCAGTGATCGTTCTCATCATTCCCACCGTGTGGTGAGGAGACCTGGGCTCCAACTTCGTCAGACCTAGGTTCAAATCCCTGCTCATCATTTTCTAATCATGTGACCTTGGGAAAGTGACCCCTCTCCTCTAAGTCTCCCCTTCACAGGCCTCTGAGGTGAAGATTAAATAACAAATGTAAATGTTAGCAAAAACAAACTGTAATGTGTGTAAGGTATGTAAAAACTACATACCTATACCGTGTGCAAAAAGTCTGGTACATCATAGGTGCTACAATGCTTGTTGAACGAATCAAATGGAAAGCAGGCTTTGAGACAATGCCTATCACCCCCATATGACCCTTAACAGGAAATGCAGCAGTCGCACAGTGGAAACAGCATCCCGGTAATGGTGGGAGCGTGTGTACTCAGGATGTGAGGAGATGATGCCCATCACTTCCCTTTGAGCCCCGCCAGGGGCAGGAGTGTGAAGGATGGGACACGATTGCTACAGGGGATGAGTCGTGGTTGCTATGGGGGATGGGTCACAGTTGCTCTAGGGGATGGGTCATGGTTGGACGTGGAAACTGATCTTCTGAAATCCCAGCCTCTTTGTACAAGTGGGGGTCCCTACCTGCAGGAAGGTCAGGGCTGCTCGCTGCAGCAGGCACTCTGCATAGCAGACCTCAGCGTGGATTTCCTCTGTGGGGAGAAAACCAAAGCCCCGTGGCCTCCTGGGACTCTAGTCAGGAGGCCTGGGACAAATCCTCACACCCCAACTTCCCCAAAAGCAAAGGGAACCTATGTCAGCACCTCTCCTGTCCCCTACCTCGTCACCCAGTGCTTCAGAGCATTCGTCACTGTCCCTAGAAGCTAGCTCATACCCTCCTCCAAGCACCACTGTAGGTGCTGTGTACCCAGCAACATCAGATGCACTGTGGGGCGTTAGAACCTTCCAGGGCTCTTGAGGAGGGTAAGGCCACTTTCCCCTATGCTGCAGAGCCCCTCACTGCTTGCGGTCAGCCACTGCTGCCTCCAGGACAGCTGCATGTGGTCATGGCACAAAGACCTAGATGGACCATGACACCCCAGACCACTTCTTCTCATGTTGTCCCATTGACTCGGCTGCTGAAACCATATTCCCCTCTGGGGCCCATGCGATCACTAGGATAATTAAATCAGTAAACTTAACTGCACATACAACTCTAAACACCCATTGGCCTGAGGAGCAGAGCCCTGGCCTTGTGACAGCTTTCCCTTTCCTTGACTTGCAGGTTCTCAGCCAGTAGTGCTATCGCATAAGTGGGTCTCACCTGCCCCCCACACCCTCACTAGAGAGCCATGCCTCAAAAGGCCCCAGCTCTGACCCATGTGTGTCCTGGCATGGACACCAGGGCCTGGCCCCCTAGGCGATGACAGGGAAGAAAACTGCCCCTTCCTGGGCCTGGAGCTGGCCACCTGGGCTTAGCATGGTTGAAAGGATGTCCTGGATGCCACACCTTCAGTGAATTGGCCCAGCGTGGGGCGGTTCACCAGGCTGCTGAAGGAATCTGTTACAGAAGACTTCCTCCGGTGCCTGAAGAGGAAAAAGAGGGGCCTCAGGTGAGGATTAGAGAGAGGCCACACTTGTCTCTGCCCCTCTCTGCTACACCCTAGAACATTCCTAAAGAGACAGAGCTAGCAAGAAAGAACACAGGCTTAGAGGTCAAACAGAAGAGGTTTGATATTCTGGCAAAAAAGTCACTTAACTTCTCTGAGGCTCAGTGCCTTCACTGGTCAAATGGGGACAGTTACCACCTGATCAGTCCTGGGGCTGAGGCTATACAGCAGCTCCTGGTCAACCCGCTTCCTGGCCAGGTGATGCTGCTCCTGGCAGCTCCCAACCTGTCCGACGTTTCGGCTCCTCTCCTTAATGTCTCTTCGTGTCCAGCCTGGCCTACCCTCCTGCCCACCCAGGTCTTGCTGCCTCCTCCTCTACTCTGTCACCCTGGTCCCTAAAAGCTGCCCAGTGACTGGCTCAGACAACATAGCTCCTGAGGCAGGGCCAACAGGGACAGCTCTTAGCACATGCAGACACAACCTCTTAGCCAAAAGCAGCAGTGCGAATAGTGGCATGTTAGGCCCTGGAATGGGCCAGGGTGACAGCAGGGTGGGCCTCCCAACCTCTGATCCCTGCCCCCAATGCCCCCAACCTCTGACACAGCATCTGTGCCTCCTTCATCATGTTGCCGGCAAGCAGGATGTCCTGAGGGTCAAAGGTCATCATGGCCTGCATCTCCAGGATGGTGGCATATGTCAGTGAGTGGTACATGCTTTCCTTGGTTCTGCCAAAGAGAAGAGACGTTGAGAGCACCACCTTATAGAGCCCCAGAGGCAGCTGGTCCTGGGCAGCTCATCTCCACCCTCCTCCATTCTGCAGTGAGGTGAGGGGACCAGAGGTCCAGGCACGGGGAGGGCCTTGGCCAGGTCTAATCTGCTCACTGCTACTCAAAAGACCTCGGATTCTGTTTCCAGCTTGCCTTCTTCCTGCTGAGTGGCCCTAAGTGATCTACCAGATTTGAGCCTCAGTTCCTCATCAGCTCGGTAGGGGTGGCAGCAGCATAGCTGCCATGAGCACTGAGAAAGGGTTTAGTGCATGTCGGCCAGAGGCTGCCCTTCCCTGCACCCAGTGCCACCCTCTTGCCTTCTGCCCCCACCTCCTGCAGGCTGAGCCCAAGTCCTGTCTGTGAGATCCTGTTTAGCCCAAACCCCACCCCTGGGCCGCCCTCAACCTCACTTCCCTGGACCTCCTCACTAGTCACCTGCTGCCTCTTCCCACTCCCTCCCCTCATCTGATCATGGTGCCCAGTGGTTACACCTTCCCATGGCTCCCACATCCTAGGAGATCCTGCCGGGGCTAAAGCTCCATGAGACGCCGGCTCTGCCCACCTCTCCAGCCCTCTTGATGTTTCTGCTCCTCACCCACCCCCATCTGGTCACATTCAAGATTG
Organism: Homo sapiens; assembly: GCF_000001405.40. Classification (NCBI taxonomy): domain Eukaryota; kingdom Metazoa; phylum Chordata; class Mammalia; order Primates; family Hominidae; genus Homo; species Homo sapiens. The sequence goes on from NC_000001.11 coordinate 51,313,610, forward strand.
CACCCCCAGCCACACTGAACCACACAAACCTTCCATGAGAAAATCCCACATTTCCCTCCTCCAGGCCTTTGCCCAGCCTGTTCCCTCAGATTGCAATGCCCTTCTTCGGCCAGGTGTGGTGGCACAGGCCTGTAATCCCAGCACTCTGGGAGGGCAAGGCTGGAGGATTGTTTGAGCCCAGGAGTTTGAGACCAGCCTGAGAAACATAGTGAGACACTGTCTCTAAAAAGTAATAATAATTTTTTTAAAAAAGAAAGAAATGCTCTTCCTCTACATCTCCTGACATATCTGTCAAGGCCTCAAATGCCTCCCAGACCACTGGGAATCCAGGCCTCCTCCTCAGGGACTCCATCTGTAACTGAGGCACGGGCCACGCTGAACTGACATCAGCATAGGCTCAGCTCTCCCCATACTGTGGGCACCTCGAGGACAGAGCTTGTGTGTGACTCATCTCTGTCCTCAGCACCGATGTCAGGGCTGAGCCAAGGTGGCCTCAGGAGCCTCTGGGCTCCCTGCTCCTTCACCGACCCAGGCTCCTCAGCTGAAGGGTGTGTTGGGGGCAGGGGGTGGCATTTAGTCCATCACATGGAGAAGGCAACAGGCAGGGAGGGACGGGAACAATGCCAGGTCCTCTCTGTATGTGGAGGGAGTCACTTAACATGTCTGGGCCTAGATTTCTGCTTCTGCAAAATGGGGACGATAATGCCAGCCTGCCCGGGTCCCTGCGAGACTGTGGGACTGACTGAGAGCGCCTTTACTCCCTTCCCCAGGTCTCCTCGTGAATTATTTATGAATCTCCTCAGTGCCAGGTTTATGCTGGGAACTTCAGAGGAAAGAGAGATGACTAAGGTTTACAGGCTGTTTGGTTGTGAAATCATGTGACTTTACCCCTTTTCCTGCTTTTCCTGTTCATAAAACACTCATAAGTTAAGTTACTTCTGGGTGACACTCCTGTGATCCTTGAGGGTCAAAGGAAGGAAACCAAGGCTGCTCTACCACTCGCCAGCCAGGGGCACTCTCTGGATGCTCCCAGGCCTTTGCTAGGACTGCTTAATCTGCAGGCAGTGGCTTGTAGAGAGGAGCAGGCTGCCCAGAGTGGGGGCCAGAACCAGGTTTCAGAGTCCCTCAGACACAGGTTGGAGTCAGCTTTGCCAGCTACCAGCTGTGTGACCTGGCATGTCTCATGTCTCATAGCCTCTCTGAGCCTCAAGTTTTTCCCTGCGGAAGGAAAACCTTAACTCTTCTCCCCAATGGGTTTTTGCATGGCTTAAATAGAATACCCAGGCCAGGGGCCACTGCACCAAAGCTCGGTAAATATGAGTCCCTCCGTGTCCTGCGTCACTTCCCTGCATAAAGTCCTTCTCCTCGAGGAGGGGCTTCCCTGGCAGCACACAGACCCATCCCCCAGATAACACCCCCAGCCCCCAGGCCTCTCCATCTCTCAAGTCCTTGTCTCTCTCTTCCTCTCCCACTGCAGGTCTGAGGCCCGGGACTCAGCACCACCTGCCCAGCCCCACCTGTGGAAACTTGTCTGGTGCTGGGCCCAGAAAGAGGGACAGCCCCACCCGGGCAGCTGGCAGAAATGTGGAATTTCTAGTCTGAGGCCCAAGGCCCCAACAGGCACCTGTGGCTAAGAATACTAGCCCCTCCCCAGCCTACCTCCTGGAAGCCCCCAACTCTAGTCTGAACTGGGAAATGAAGTACAGAGGTATGACAACCCTCAAACCTCAGGCACTCCAAGTTTAGCTTGTACCCAAGTTTGTATTTGCATATATATCATCTAGGCCGCTAGTCCCCTCATTCCTGAGCTGTCCTCTCACTCTGGGACATGTCTACTGGGGTCCCACCTTCTTGGGCCCAGACCGGCTGTCAGGATAGGGAGGGCACTGGAAGGCAGAGGCAGCCCCTTGGCCTCTCCAAGTCTCTTCCTCTTCGTGCTCACTGAAGCTCCCCCTACTCCACTTTCTGGTCCTTTCAGACCCCACTTCATTGTCTTCCTCTCCAGCCCAAGTTGCTTCTATGGACTCCCCATCCCCAGTCCGCTGTCCATCACCCTGCCTTCTTCCTTCTGGGACCTGCCTCAGCTCCTCCCACTCCAGCCAAGGTGAGTGTCTCCATCTCTCAGATACTCTAGACCCTCATTCACTACTGAGCCTTTGCACAGGCTGTTCCCTCTGCCTAGAAACGCCCTCCATCTGGCTGACTCCTTCTCATCCAGTCCATCTCAGTGTAAATGTCACTTTTTCCAGTAAGCCTTCCAGGGCAGCTTCACGGGTGTGTGGTCTATGCTGTTGCACAGGGCCTGTGCCTAAAAAGGGCCCATGTTTGGTTTAATTCTCTGCTGTCACTGTTTTTAAATTTTAATAATATTTGAACAAATGACCCTGAATTTCTATTTGGCAATGAGCCCCAGGGAATGAGGCAGCCCTCCTGACCAGCCCCTTTCCCACAGGAAATGGGGTCCCTGGGTCGTTCTCGGCACCCCTTATTGCTTGTTTCACCATTTCCCTGCTGGACCCTGAGAACAGCCCACGTCTTGCTCAGTAATGGAGCCCCAGCACCCAGCACACTGCCGGGCCCAGGAGGGCGCTCAAAGGCTGTTGCTGAATGAACCAGTGACAGGTGCCCAACCACCTCCATCCTTTGAGTCATAGCGTGACCTTGTCTTCATCACACAGAATGGCTCTGCTTCTGGAGTCTTAAAGGATGCCGCCGCCTTCCCAGCTATAAGCCTCCTGACCTGCCCATACTGGCTCATCACTCCCGCTGCCCATCCTCCCTCCTCCAGCCTGTCCCCTCTTCCTGACTGCTTAGCCTAGTGTCCTCATACCAGTCTCTCTCTTTCAACATACTCAATGCCAAGCCTGCCAACCTTCTGCTGAACCTAGCTAGGAGCCCAGCTCAGGAGCCATGCAACTGCCCACTTTCTCCACACTGCCACTGAGCAATGCTGGAGAAAGCTGCCCCCTACACAGACAGACACAGGCTGGACTGGGGCCTCAGCCTCGGCCAGGCCTGGCATCCTGCCCAGAAACACCTTTTCCCCTCTCCTTATTATCCCTGCAACACCACCTGGCCCCTCGCTCTTGGCAGGTGACCTTGCCTCTTCCCTCAGAAAACTACAGAACACTCAAGGGCATACCCTGAACTTGCTGCACCCCCACACATGCCCCCAGTGCACCCTTTCCACCTCCTTCACTCCTCATGGTTTGGGGGAGGCAGATGTGAGGCCCTGCCCAAGGTAAATGACGCCAACCCAAGGGGGAGGGCAAACCACACACACAGCAGTCAGTGTGTGGTTTGTGCAGCTGGAGGACCTGGATCCAAATCCCACTCTGCCATTTATTAACCACGATCATGTAATTCAAGAAAGCCAAAAGCAGTAGCCTCCATGTCCCAGAGACAGTGCGTCAGGTCAGACTCAGTGCTAAGTGAAATATGCTAGAAGCAGAGACAATGCTACTCAAAGGCATGACTTATGGAAAGCAGAGGCAAGGCGGGGAAGGGAGCTAGGAAAGCCCAGATGCCCCATGCAGAGAGAAAGAGGAGCACCATCCCCCACTGCATGGGACCAGGACAATTAAACGAGACAATGTGTGCAGCGAAGAACAGCGAATGACACTGGGCCCAACATCTTCTGAAGCTTTGGTGGCCATCAGTGAGGAAGGGAGGCTGTTTTCCAGCAAGAATTGTTTTCTCTAGACCCGTGGTTCTCAATGGAAGTGCCAGGGTATCCCCACTCCCAATGTGAGGACATGTGGCAATTTCTGCAGACATTTTGGGTTGTCACAGGTGGTCTGGGGGTGGTGTGCTACTGACATTACTATTTGGAGGAAAACTGTTAAAAAGAAAGAAAGGGCCTGGTGCGCTGGCTCACGCCTGTAATCCCAGCACTGTGGGAGGCCAAGGCGGGTGGATCGCCTGAGGTCAGGAGTTGGAGGCCAGCCTGGCCAAAATCGTGAAACCCTGTCTCTACTAAAAATATAAAAAATTAGCCAGGCCTGGTGGCGCGCACCTGCAATCCCAGCTACTCAGGAGGCTGAGGCAGGAGAATCGCTTGAACCCAGGAGGTGGAGGTTGCAGTGAGCCGAGATCACACCATTGCACTCCAGCCTGAGCGACAGAGCAACACTCTGTCTCAAAAACAAACAAACAAACAAAAAGAAAAAAGAAGGAAAGGATCCTTTTCTGGAATAAGGCAGGGGCTAAGAAACAGAAGCTGCACTACTTCCCACGTGAGATAACAGGTGGCCCCATGGGAAGACTGGATTCCTGGGGTGTCTCTGTTAGGACGAGGGTTTCCTTTGGCGATCCTGAGTGCTACAGGACTCCTGTTAGAATGCCCTCCTGAGGTGAGGGGGCCACAGAGGGAAAAGCCCTTTCAGGGACCATGTGGCAGGGACAGCTCGAGGACCCAGGCACAGCCACAGCCTTTGGTTTTAATATTTTCTCCTGTGTTTCGACTCCCTTCTGTTGGCCCCAAGTCTGCAGGACAGTTTAGAGTAGGCTGAGGCATGGCCTTATCGGGGCTTCAGTGGGTGAGGAGAAAGGTGCCTGATGTGTCTGTGCTTGGGGTGTGGGACCGGCTGAGCAGCTGTGTCCTGGGCAGCTGGATTCCAGTGCAGGAGGGTGGCTATGGTCTGGGGTCCAGGCTCGAGTGAGTGACAGGAAATGACTAGGGGAGAAGCAGGAGCTGGAGAGCCTTCCAAGAAAACTGAGAGGGGAACCTGGACATTCCAAGACAGAGCAGGCTGCGGCTGGGCCTGCCTCAGGCCATGGTCATGCTCTTGCTGCAGGCCCTGACCCACCCAGCCTGACCCCCTCAAGCCAGGTCCCCTCAGACAGTGGGAGTATGGTGTGGAGACTGCCACACGCCCTGGAACACCCACCCCACCCCAGAAGCTGGGCCACTGACCCTAGACGGGAGAAAGATGGGTCCATGATGTCTACAGAAATTGAAGAGGTCAGGCCTGGGGACTTGTGGAAACCAGTCCCCTGGCCTCAGCATTCACTTTTCCTTGGAGCTTGGGTGCAGGGGACAAGCTGGAGCTGAAAAGAAGGGGACTACGGAGAGTAGGTGGCAGAGATGATTAGACCCCAGCCCCTAGTCTCCCAATTCAGGCCGCCAGGGCTCTCTGTCCAGGCTGAGAAATGGACGACTCCTCTCTGGAGAAGTTAAGCCATCCCGGGTGCTGACATCTGGGGGCCAGCTCTCTAGGTCATCCAAAGCCAACCCCACCAACTACAAGGCAGCTTGGCACAGACCTCCCAGCTGGCCTTCGCATGAACTCATTCTTAAACAGGACTAGACAGACAGCCAGGGATGGTTGGGTTTTTGAAGAAAGCACCCCATGAGAAGAGGATTCCCCATTAAACAGACTCCAGGAACATGGAGAAAGCCTAGTTATGCAGGAAAAGAATGAAACATTTTAAAGAGAAATAATATTGTGACAATAATAACAATAAATACTTTATTAGATACTTAATACATGCCAGGCACTGTCCTAAGGGCCTCATATTCCAAATATAGATATAAAGAAGTTGGTGCACCATAAACCAAGAAGAAGATGTTATAGGGAAAAAAGAACATTCAGAGAATAAAGAATACCAGGAAATTAATCATATGGTTACAGAGATAAAGAAGTCAACAGAAGGAATTAATGAGAAGGGTGAGGAAATCTTCCAAAAATCAGATGGAATAAAAAGATAAAGCAATGGGAAAAAGGAGAGGGAGAGGGAAGAGGCTCAGAAGAGGACTGACCTAGGAGGTCCAAAAGGTGAGTTAAAGAAAGCCCAGGAAAGGGAAACAAGACGGAACCATCGTACAAGAGCACTTCCCAGAACTGAGAACCCGCATAACAATCCAGGATAAAAAAGACTTCATTGCCACACATCATGGTAAAATTCCAGATTTTCAGAAATACAAGAGCCAATCCTAAACCTTTCTGGAGAAGGAGTAAGAAGAATTAGGGTTCTCACAGCTACAGTAAATGCTAGAACACTGAAGCAAGGTATTCAAAATTCTTAGGGAAAAAAATATATTTATGCAAGTCTTTCTTATAAAATTTCTTTTTTTTCTTTTTCTTTTTTTTTTTTTTCCAGACAGAGTCTCACTCTGTCACCTAGGCTAGAGTGCAATGGAGCAATCTCTGCTCACTGCAACCTCCACCTCCTGGGTTCAAGCGATCCTCCCACCTCAGCCTCCTGAGTAGCTGGCATTACAGGCACTCGCCACCATGCCCGGCTAATTTTTGTATTTTTAGTAGCGACGAGGTTTCACCACGTTGGCCGGCTGGTCTTGAACTCCTGACCTCAAATGATCCACCCACCTCAGCCTCCCAAAGTGCTGGGATTACAGGCATGAGCCACTGCGCCCAGACTTTCTTAGGAAATTTCTATAGGACATTCCCTGGCAAATGAGGGGGACACAAGAGACAAGACCTGGAATCAAAGAAACAGGAGAAAAGCAAAGGAGCTCCAGGAAACAGCCAGGAGGAGCCAGAAGACATGTCTGTCCTCCCAAGGATAGGTTTCCAGGAAAATGAGGGGGGTACTGAGTGCTTACTTGATAGGTTTCAGCATTTTGGGAAAAACTCAACGATAGGATGATCTGATGGAGTGGTTATAAAGACTTACGGATAAATGTTTAGCAAATTAGGCCAATGGGAAAAGCAATAAAATTATTAACTCTAGAAGGAAATAGTCTCGCACATGATTTTCTTTGCAATAAGCATTAATCACAAAGGTATAGTAAGGTAAATACTGATTCTTTCTTTCTTTTCTTTTCTTTTTTTCTTTTTCTTTTTCTTTTTTTTTTTTTTTTTTTTGAGACAGGGTTTTGCTCTGTTGCCCCATGCTGGAGTGCAGTGGTGCACAAGATCACAGCTCACTGCAGCTTCAACCTCCTGGGCTCAGATAATCCTCCCACTTCAGCCTCCCAAGTAGCTGAGACTATAGCTACTATATACTATAGCTGAGACTATAGGCGCACACCACCACACCCAGCTAATTTTTTGTATTTTTTTTTGTAGATATGGAGTTTCACCATGTCCAGGCTGGTCTCAGACTCCTGGGCTCAAGCGATCTACCTGCCTCGACCTCCCAAAGTGCTGGGATTATAGTCATGAGCCACCACGCCTAGTTAAACACTGATTATTGATTTACCCCAATATTGTGATATAATGACGAGAAAGATGAGGGAAGGGAGGTGGGGCAGGGGTGTAAGAAAGCTAAATTCTCATCTATCAGTAGATGTTTTCTGGTTTTTTTTTTTTTTTTTTTGAGACAGAGTCTTGCTCTGTCACCCAAGCTGGAGTGCAGTGGCACGATCTTGGCTCACTGCAACCTCCACCTCCAGGGTTCAAGTGATTCCCCTTCCTCAGCCTCCTGAGTAGCTGGGATTACAGGCACACACCACCACACCCAGCTAATTTTTTATATTTTTGGTAGAGATGGGGTTTCACCATGTTGGCCAGGCTGGTCTTGAACTTCTGACCTCAAGTGATCCACCCGCCTTGGCCTCCCAAAGTGCTGGGATTACAAGCGTGAGCCACCACGCCCAGCCCAATAAATGTTTTAAAGTGATAAGAAAGGGTGAGTTTTACGGTATCTGAATTACATCTCAATTTTTAAAACTGAGAAAAAGTGATAAGTAAAGAAAAAGGAGTATACGCCCATTATTGATTTGTATTTACAGAAACATGGCAGTGAGTACTCAAGGAAATGGTCAAGTGAGCAGCCCTCTTGATTGCCCTAAAACACCCAGGAAAGCAGGCAACCTAAGTCTTTAGTGCTTTGGGGAAAAATAAACAAAGGAGTCATGTGAGAGCTGGTGAGGATGAAACTCCAAGTGGATTCTGCGGGAACAAGTAACAAAGTGTGAAGAACCCTCAAGAGCCTAAGAAGAAGCAAGTCACAGTGACCTTGGAGAGGGCCTGGCTGCACACAGGCCGTGGAATGGAGCTTGAGCCATTTTTATGGGACTTCTCAGAGGTCCTGGTGACCCAGAAAGCCAAAGGCATTTAGTTACACAGGGTTCCTCTCATACAAGACCTCTGGTTCTCCCTGACCGTCATGCACACCCCCTACCCCAACCGGGGCTTGAGCCTCACCTGGGCTTGAGGTAGCTGAGTGCTTCTGAGAACTGGTTGGTGAGGAAGAGGTCCAGGGCGGTCATGCACTGGTCCAGGGCCTCATGGAGGCTGCTCTCAGGAGTCCTGGGGGAAGAGATGCGGGGCATGACACAGGGGCCCTCCAACCCTCCAGCCTCTCCTGGCTGGAACAGAGCCTCACAGGGTCTACTCAGCCTCCCTGGCCAGCCTTGGGTGCCTGTCACGAGCTCCTCCAGGCTGCCACTCTGTACTGGGACGCAGGGACAATTTGGACCCACCTCTTGGTGTTCCCAAGGGTGGGAGGGGGAGCAGAAGGGAATGTCATCAGAGATCTGTTGGAGGTGGGGGAGGGGCCAAGGGCAAGGTGCAAAGAGGCCTCAGGAATCAATGATCTTACCCTCCACAAGGGTAAAGGGAGTCTTTGTGGCCCTTCTGGCCCATTGGGCTCTGCTGCCCCCCCAGGGGGTGCAGCCCAGCCACTAAATCCCACAGCCCCTTTTTCCCTCCTCCTTCTCCAAGGCCTCCTCCCTCCCCCAGGCCTGGACTCTAGAATCCCTGACGTTGTCACAATGGGCTGTCACACTATGGGTCAGCAGCCCCAAACGAGAGGCCCAGGGCCTTTCAAATTCACTTTGCCAATGGCTCCTCCAGAATACCTGAGCCCTTTCCAGTCCTTACGTTTCTCTATAGCTTTTACCACCCTCTGACGTGATATATTTTACTTATTTTTGTGTTTATTGTCTGTCTCCCTCCACTAAACTATAAGCTTCCAGGAAGCAAGAATCTTTAACTGCTGTATCCCCAGCAACTAGTATCCAGTACAAAGTAGGCTTTTAATAAATATCTGTTAGGTAAATGAATGAATGAATGAATGAATGAATGAATGAATGAATGAAGAGTCTAAGGCTAGGAAAGCAAACCCCTGACTTTTCTGGGTCTCAGCTTTCCCATATAAAAATGAGAGATGAAACTAAGAGATCCCAGAAGCCCTGCCTATTTGATGTTTTGATAATGCCTCTTCTCAAGGGGCCTCCTTTGAGTGAAAGAATGTTCCAGAAAGAGGCTTGATACTCTCCCTGAAGGGAAATCCTATTTCCCAGAAGTTAGTTAAAAGAAATTCCCTCTCCACCAGGTAAACTCCTACATATACCTTAGGGCCCAGCTCTAAAGTCTCCCACTCTGAGATGCATCAGTAGATCTTCCCAGGCAAATTGAAACATGTCTTTTTCAAAACTGAACTCGTGTTCATTCTCCCAATCTGTTCTCCCCCAGTCTTTGCCTTTCTTTTTTTTGGTGGATATGGGGTCTCGCCATGTTGCCCAGGCTGGTCTCAACAAACTCCTGGGCTCAAGTGATCCTCTTGCCTCAGCATCCCAACGTGTTGGGATTACAGGCGTGAGACACCATGCTTGTCCACTCCTCTACCCAATAAGCAACACTCCTCTACCCAATTCCCCAAGCCAAAAATCTGATAATCATCTTTGCCACATCCCTTCTCTGGCCTCTGTCATCCCCTCCATCACTAAACTCCACTAAATCCCATCATTTCTACTTCCTTTTTTATAAAGAATTTTTACAGAGATAGGGTCTCATATGTTGCCCAGGCTGGTCTTGAACTCCTGGGCTCAAGTGATCCTCCCACCTCATCCTCCCAAAGTGCTGGGATTATAGGTATAAGCCACAGCCTACTTCCTAACATCTCTCAATCAACCCCTTCTATGCCCAATACCTTCTGGTCCAGGCCAGCACCATCTTTACCCAGGTCTGTTGGAACACTCTCCATTCCACTCTTTCCACCTTCTTCTCTCTTCTCTGTTAGACCTTTTTATTCCATATTTCATGTCTCTTAACTAACTTCTATACTATCTCTTGGGCTCTCTGTTAGATCCTGAGTAATTTCTTTCATTTCACCAGCTCTTTCATTAGGTGTGTCTGACCTGCTACTTATCCTACCTACTGAATTTTTCATTTCAATGATTATATTTTTCATTTTGTGAAATTCCACTTGGTTCTTTTTCAAATCTTAGTTATTTGGGGTAGTATTATGTTCCCTGCCTCAAGTCCATCTTCAATTCCTTTATACATTTTAAACATAATTATTTCTATTCTATATCTCATAATTCTAGCATTTTAGACTCTCAGGGAAACTAATTCTGCTCTTTCTTGTTTCTGGTGCCTGCTGCTCACAGTGGCTTATTTCCTTGTGTGTTTTGCAATTATATTACAAATTCATGTTTGACAGATCCAAAGGGACTGTGGGACAGGATACATTGCTCCAGGAAGGATTTTTCATTTACTCTGTCCAGGTTCCCAGGGGAACTACCACCCTGAGACCATTTAAGTTACTTTTTTAAGTTTATGGTTTCCAGGACCACAAAGGTAGTGGTGTGCCATCAAACCCAAAGTTTGTGTGATGGCAGACCAGTATTTATCATTTTTTAGGGAGTCTTTTTTTCCCACCAGAAATGCTGTCTAACTTTGCTGGTGGGGGCGGACCTTTTTTCTAGCCAATCTTCCTATTCACTGAGGCTGTAGCCCTTGGAGGGTCCCAGATTTAAGTGTTGAGTTGGGGAATGCTAAGTTCCAACTCCTTAAACTGTAACTGTGTAGGCCCAAGACCTTCTTTCCCATCTGTTGAGTGGCCGTTGAAACTCCTGGCTTTAGATTTCTGAAATGTGTAAATAGCCTAAGGTTGCTGTGGCTTCATCTTGTTTGCCAGCCTGACTTCAGTTCTCTCTTCACGCTTGGCTGGAGGGGGTTTCTGTTACTTCTGTGGGAGTTCAGGAATGTACTGAATTATTTTATTTATTTATTTATTGAGGAGAGGGTGTCTCTCTGTTGCCCGGGCTGGAGACCAGTAGTGCGATCTCAGCTCACAGCAACCTCCTCCTCCCAGGTTCAAGCTATTCTCCTGCCTCAGCCTCCCAAGCAGCTGGGATGACAGGTGCCCACCACCATGCCCGACTAATTTTTTTGTATTTTCAGTAGAGATGAGGTTTCACCATGTTGGCTAGGCTGGTATCAAACTCCTCAGGTGTTTGACCTCAGGTGATCCACCCGCCTCAGCCTCCCAAAGTGCTGGGATCACAGGCGTGAGCCACTGCACCTGGCCAGGAATGTACTTTAAAGGATGTTTGTTGTAACTCATCCCCACCTCTAGGTAGTTTCTTTGAGAGAGAATGTTGGAAGCATTATTTCCCCTAACCTGTCTCTCCCATAATTGCCAAAGATACATCTTTAAAACCCACATCTGTCTGGGCATGGTGGCTCATGCCTGTAATCCCAGCATTTTTGGAGGCTGAGGCGGGCGGATCACCTGAGGTCAGGAGTTCGAGACCAGCCTGACCAACATGGAGAAACCCCGCCTCTACTAAAAATACAATATTAACTGGGCGTGGTGGCATATGCCTGTAATCCCAACTACTACGGAGGATGAGGCAAGAGAATCGCTTGAACATGGGAGGCAGAGGTTGTGGTGAGCAGAGATCGCACCATTACATTCCAGCTTGGGCAACAAGAGCAAAATTCCATCTCAAAAAAAAAAAAAAAACCACAAATGTCACTTCTGGACTTAAAATCTTTCCCTGGCTTCCCATTGCTCTTAGGGTAAAGGCCAAGTTCCTTTCCATGGCCTAAAAGGCCCCACCTGATGTGGTCCCTGCCCCTCTCTTCAGAGGCTGGGATGGTGTCTGTCTCTGCCCAGGGCATAGCCTAGTGACTGGTGTTCAAGCCATTCATCTCTGTTGGATGAATCAATGAGGCAGCAGTGAGCATCTACTGCCTGGGTGTTTAACTGGCATTCTCTCTGACTGCTCTCAAAATGCCCTGTGAAATGGGATTATTACCCCCCCACACCTATTGCAGATGGGGAAACTGAGGCACAGAGGACGGGTAACTTGGCTAAGGTCACACATCCAAGCTAAGGTCACACATCCAAGCATGCATTCTAACCCAAGTTTCTGCCTGAGCCAGTACCCATCAGCTCAGCCCCAGAAAGTCAAGCCCATTGTTGTGGTTTATGCCAACCTCTAAACAATTTCTGAGCCAAGAGCCTGCCTCCCATTTCTGCACACACCCCTCACCACCTCCATCCCCCACCGAGGAAAAGGTCCTGTCTACTTGGTCTACCTGGAGAGAAAGATCCAGGCCGGATGGACAGTCAGTGCAGACAGGCACAGTCCTTCCCTCGGCAGCCCCGGCACCTCTTCTGCTTAACTGGGATGAGGCTGTCTGCGGTAACCTCCCCCAGACTGGGGGCGAGCTGAGCCCTGGGCTGATTTCCTCCCTCCTTCCCTCCCACAAGCACCCGCGAATCTCGTGCTCTAGGCTATGCGTGGGACTGGGCTCTGGGGACACAGAGTGGACACAGACCTAGGCCTGCCTCTTCAGGAGCTCACAGCCTACAGGTGACAGATGCAGACAGGGCAGTGACCGCTACAGTGCTCAGGGCTGTGATCATGGGAATCACTGGGGGCCAAAGGGGCCCAGAAGACACCTCTAACTCAGCCTGGGGCACTGAGGAGGCTGGGCGGAAGGAGGATGGCATCATGGAAGGAGGATGGCATCAAGGAAAATGCCATCAAACTGAGAACAAGATGGAGAAAGAAGTCTAAGAAGGGGAAACAGCACACACACAGGGCTGGAGGCATGACACCACAGTTAGGAGGTACAAGCGTTCTGGAAGGGCTTGGAAGACAGAGGCTCTGCAAGGCCAGCTAAATGGAGGGGTGAGGCTGCGGTGGCTAGAGAGCTCAGGAAGGCTGGAGACATCCGCCCCATTTGACTTAATAATAGCATTAACAACCAACCACCCATCGCCACAAAGAGATTACCACTTCAACTTATTTAAATTGATGACTGCATTATTTCACTCAGTCCTGCCAGCAGGCACCCTTATCTGTCTTTGATAGATATGGCAGGGACAGGCAGTGAAGACAGGAACGCAGTCAGGCTCCTCTCAGGAGCCTGGGAGAAGACAAAAATGCATTCTGTGGAAGCAACAGCGCCAAACCTTTCCCCTCACCTGGCTGAGACTGAGGCCCCCATTTCTCCACAGGCTGCCCCTGCGTCTCCAAGACCTTTCTTTTCCAAGGACACCTTGCCTGGCCCAGGTGACATCTATTCCTGCGGTGATGGTGGCCTCTCCACTGTGTGTTGGGGAACAGAGGAGAGGGACGCGGAGAAGAGGTGCTGGGCTGGATGGAGCAGAGCTGGTGACCAATGCCAGGAGCTCTGGCACAGTGGTGGCGGCTCTCTCATTCAGATCCCACCCACACTTGAGGCCCAAACGAGAAGGGAGCTAGAGGGTGGGAGGGGGTGTCAGGTAGCCTGGAGCCGCCCCCACTCTCCCCTTCCCTCCCACTTCTCTACTAGAGTTGGCTTGGACTGCTGCTTCTGTGCCTCATGGGCAGATCTGGGTAGAGCTGGGAGACCCTCAGTTCCCACTGAGAACAGAAAATCCTCCTACCTCCATCCCAGTCAGGATGAGGTGGGTGTGGGGTGGGTGAGGCGGCGGAGCGGTCGCTCAGGAAGCCAACTGCAGTCAGAGCTGGATTTTAATCCCTGCTCCACCACTGAGGGGAACTTTGGCTCAACGAGTAAAATAATCTGCCCATGGGGATCTGTTGCTTTAGAAGTGATCTTTCTAAATTGCAAAAATGATTGTGACTCTCCTTCCAAAGAGTCCCCCTTAGCTGCACATAAATGTGTCACGGAGTGATGTAGCATGACCTAATGCAGTGTGGCCTGCAAGAGTTCTGAAAGCAGACAACCCTAGACTCAAGCTGCAGCTATTACTTGCTGGATAACCTTGGGAATGTTCCATACCCTCTATGAGCCTCCGTTTCCTCATCAAGGAGATGGGAATGACAGTACTTACCTCCCACGGTTTTTGTGAAGAATGACTAAGACTATGGAAAGCACAAGAGTACTCAGAAAATGTGAGTAATTATTATTTTTTTCTAAAATTATGTATTGCCATTTTTTTTTTTTTTTTTGAGAGAGGCTCTCTCTGTCGCCCAGGCTGGAGTGCAATGGCACTACCTGGGTTCACTGCAACCTCCGCCTCCCGGGTTCAAGAGATTCTCCTGCCTCAGCCTCCCGAGTAGCTGGGATTACAGGTGTGCACCACCATGCCAGGCTAATTTTTGTATTTTTAGTAGAGACAGGGTTTCACCATGTTGGCCAGGCTGATCTCAAACTCCTGATCTCAAGTCATCCACCTGCCTGGGCCTCCCAAAGTGCTGGGATTATAGGCGTGAGCAACTGCGTGCGGCTTTACCATCATTTCTTGATCAAGTAGCACTGACTTTATAATGAAACTAAATAACTTTAAAAGATTGAGTGGGCCAGGCGCAGTGGCTTACTCCTGTAATCCCAGCACTTCAGGAGGCCAAGGAAGGAGGATCGCTTGAACCCAGTAGTTTGAGACCAGTCTGGGCAACAAAGTGAGATCCTGTCTCTATTTTATTTTATTTTATTTTATTTAAGATCGAGTGCACATATCCAACAACCCAGCAATTCCACTACTAAGGGGGCACCCTCGTGAAACACATGTGCAAACACCATCATACAAGAATATTCACTGTCTGAATAGCAAGACACTGGGAACACTTCGACATCCATCAAGAAGGATAAACAAATGGAGGTGTCTACATAGGGTGGTATATCACACATCAGGGCAAGTGGGACAAGAGCTACAGGATCAAGGCTAAATCTGAGACCTGAAGTTGAGTGTGAAAACGCGAGCTGCAGCATGACACATGCTATAGGACTCCATTCACAGAAAACTTTGAAGAACAAACTACATATTTTTAAGACTTACACACACTGAGTAAAAGAATAAAAACAGAGAAATGATAAAACCTAAATTCAGGATGGCAAGTAATTCTGGAGAGGGAAGGAGGGAAGAGGTTTCCACAAGACTTTCAAGGGTCTCTACTATGGTTTATTTCTTAAAAAGAATATAAAATAAATGGGGCACAATGTTAATATCTGACAAAGTTGGGTGGCAAGGGTTTGTGAGTTCATTTTACTATTTGCTATATTTTTCTGAAGGCTTAAAATATTTCATAATTTTTAAAAAGGTAGAGATTTAAGGCTTGATTTGTTCACCAATGACCATCTGGGCCCAGAGCAGGCCTTGCTGAGTGTCTGTTGAGTGAGTGTCTCTGTAGTGAAGGTGAGAATGGTCCTGCTGCGTGCGGCCCTCCTCTGCTCAGACCCCACCAGGATGACACTAGCCAGGGTTGGGGACAGATGGACAGGTGGCTTCAAAGAAGAGTGGGCAGGCATGCAGAGAGGCAGGTACGGTTCTGCATAAGGAAGACCCACCAGCGTGAGAAGAGCAAGCTTGCTGTCCTGAGGCCTGCAGCAGGGCCAGAGGTGCCCGGGGTTGTAGAGGGCACTTAGGCAGGGATGTAAGCATATAAGGAAGTGGGATGAATGTGGTTTTCAGCCAGGGAGTCTAGACTTCTTTGATAGATACCTTGCTCCATGCCCGCCTTCTCTCCTGGAAACCACTTTTCTGGACCCAGCAGGGTGGTGGTGCTCAGTCAGGGCTGCACAGAAGGAACCTACCCAACCTCCAGCTTTACAAATACTTGAGCCCAGAACAGGAAAGGAACAGCCAGCCCCACTTCTGTGTTTTCCAAAGGAGGGACCAGAAGTCTAGGAAGGGTTAAGGACTTGGCCAAAGTCACACAACAAAAATGATGAAGCTGAAACTCACCAGGCAACCCTCTCCCAGGCCAGGGTGTCCCCCAGCAACCCAGCTTCCAAGCCCTGATAGAGCCACACACACGCAAGCCCTGTGGAGACTTCCAGCTGCCAGCTGGCACCAGCCTCGTCACCTCCCTGTTCATGTGTCAAGCCTCGGGCCCTTAGCAAATATTGTCACTGGTGGTGAGGCTCCAGGCAGGGTGAGCCCTCCTCCCAGCTCACCTGGGCCGGCTCTCTGCCCAGCAACCTCCCAGCAGTCAGGGCTCCTAGCAGCTGCCCCCTGCCCTGCCCACTGGGGCCCAGGAAAAGCAGAGAGTTGCTGAAGGTCTCCCGGCAGTAGCGGCTGTCACTGCTACGGGGGGTGATCTAGGTAGGGGTCCTATAGGGGTTTCTCAGTGGGATGTGGGTAGGGTTGGGCAGGAGAGCCACGTTGAAGGTGACAACACCCACTTTTTACTACCCAGGTTCCTGCTGCACCCAATGGGCCCGGCTGGCCCATACCTTAGCTGTTTAAGTTCCCCTAATGTCCCTGAAGATGATGGGGTGGGGGGATCTGACAACAGACAGAACTGAGTTCAAATCCCACCCGCAACTCTTACCTCCTGGGTGACCGATGACAAGTCACTTAAGTGCTGTGTCTCAGTTTCCTCATCTGTAATGGGGATGAGAGTAACAGGGCCCACCCCACAGGAGTGAACGCCACGAGGCAGGTGGGGAAGGCTGCTCTGAACGTGTCTGTGACTACAGCTCCGTGAGAAAGTTGGGACCCAGAAGGTGAGTGACCGACCCGGGGTCCCCGCGCCTCCGCCTCCTCACAGCCCCCTGCCCCCACTCCTGGCAGCGGCGGCGGCTGCCAGGGGCCGGGCGGGGTGGGGGCTGGAAGCCGCAGTGCGGCCCCAGGCCGGTGCGCGGGGGGAGGCCTGGCGCGGCGCCCGCCACCTGCCCGGGCCCCAGCCCGCGCCGCCCGCGCCCCCGGGCCTCCCAGCCGCGCACTTACCCCGCGGGCAGGGCTCCTGGGGCGCCGCCAGCCGAGGTCATCGCCGAGGGGCGCGGGCGGCGCTGCCCCAGCCGGACGCCAATCGCGGCCCAGGTGCTGCCGCCGCAACCCCGAGCCGGGCGCTGTGCGGTCGCGGACGCGGCGGCCGGGGAGGGGCGCGCCGGGGGCGGGGAAGGCGGCGGGGCCGGGCCGAGCCTCGGTCTCCCCACCCGCACCGTAGGGCCATGGCCGCCCGCGGCGACCCGCGCTCCCGCACCGCCGGGGGTTCTGGGCGGCCCCCACCCCCGCTCCGACAGGTGAGAGCCCGGCGCCCTCTGCGCAGACACCGCCCGGGCCGGGAGCTCGCTCCCTCCTCACACGTCCCCACCTATTTGGCGCTAGAAGTTCTTCTCCGGGACCTGAGGTCCACTTTACTGTCACTTCTCCTCCCCACAGCTTCCGCCCCGAAGCGGCCCCCACCTGAGCCGTCACCATCCTCCCGCATTAATGGGGGCATTCGTGCAGACAAAGACAGCCCCCAGAGTCAGGCCTGGATTTTAATCCCACCATCTCGCCCACTGAGTGACTGCAGGAGACCAGAAGGCGGGGAAAACACGGTTTAGCACTCACTGCTAGCTGGCAGTTCACACTGCCTTCTCAAATGATCCCCATAATTGCTATTTTACAGATGGGGAAACTGAGGCATGGGGTTCATTTGATTCACGCATGGTCACTCACCTAATAAGTGGCAAGCTAGGACTGGAATCCATCCCTCCTGAATCCAAAGCCAACACTCTGGCCCCTTTCCCCCTTGGCCCCCTCTCCCCTGCATTCCCAGTGCCTGTGTGGGGGTCACCCACAACGCTCCCCAAATGTCCACTGTGCACCGAGCCCTGAGGCGGTGTCTCCACCTGACCTGATCTTCTGGCACAGAAAGCCACTGGCCCATGAAGAGTTAACCAGTCACCATCTCCTGGCCCCAGATGCTGCTCTTAACCATGACTCATCAGAGCATGTGGCTGCCATTAGAGCTGTCCCTTCACAAAGGAGGGGACAGAAGTAAGGAAGGACTGTAGCTCCCCTGGAGCAACTATGACCTCCAGGACGTCAGAAGAGGAAGCAGAAGGGGACAGCCTGCAGAAGCAACCACGGTGGGAACAGGACTTGTACCAGATCCCAGGGGAGCCAGGCAGTTTGGGCTTGGTGGTAGCTGCTTAAAATCTAAGCAGGCTGCCTGGAAAGGCAGTGAAGTCCCATCCTGCCCATTTGTGAGCAGGGGCAGATGCTCACTTGCAAGAATCATCCCATCTCTAGGAGTCTCATATACAGGCACGAAAAAGATAATTAACTACTAGAAGTAAGCTATGATGACATCCACCAGCAACTATAAAGAATCCAGACAAGGGGAGAGACTGGGGAGCTTCCTGGAAGAGGTGGTGACAGAACTGAGCCTTGAAGTTTATATTATTTAAACAAACTGAAGTCATGGAGAGGGTGTACCAGATCGGGGAGCAGCATGGATGAAGGCATGGAAGTGGGAAAGGGTGAGGCTGGTGAGACCACAAGCAATACATGTAAAGAGGATGATGAGGCTGGGGCCCCTATCACATGTCATGCACTTTCAAATCTCTAGGCATTTAAACATGCTGTTCCCTCTGTGTGGAACACACCTTCCTCCCTTGTCACTTGTTAGTCATTCATGTAACCGGGGGTGGATCCAGAAGCTTACAATGGGGAGGCCGCTGTTCAAAAAAAGAATACAAATTTACCAATACAGGTTGAGCATTCCTAATTTGAAAATCCGAAATCCAGAATGCTCCAAAATTTGAAGCTTTTTTTATTTTCTCTTTTTTTTGAGACAAAGTCTCACTCTGTTACCCAGGCTGGAGTGCAGTGGCACAATCTCGTGATCTTGGCTCACCACAACCTCCGTCTCCTGGGTTCAAGTGATTCTCATCCCACAGCCTCCCGAGTAGCTGAGATTACAGGCATGTGCCACCATGCCCAGCTGATTTTTGTATTTTTAGTAGAGACAGGGTTTTGCCATGTTGGCCAGGCTGGTCTCAAACTCTGGACCTCAAGTGATCCGCCTACCTTGGCCTCCCACAGTGGGATTACAGGCGTAAGCCACCGCGCCCGGCCTGAAACTTGAAGCTTTTTGAGCACTGTAGTTGGAGACTGCAGGCCTGCCATGTTTGCTGTGCTGTTGTTACAGCGGACACAGGCATTCTACTGATGCTCACGTGCTGCTGAGTTACCCTGAACACTATTTTTTCACTGCATTAATGGTATGTTATATTTTTATTGTTAAGTACTTATGTGTGAATAAGGGTAAAAAAATGCTTATTGGGAGCACATAAATTCAGAGTCAAAAATGATGATGATGCCAAATAATCACAGATTGTCCACATGGATGGCTGAGAGAGTGACACTTCTTTCTGATGGTTCAGTGTACACAAACTTTGTTTCATGCACAAAATTATTAAAAATATTGTGTATAAAATTACCTTTAGGTGGCTGGGCATGGTGGCTCATGCCTGTAATCCCAGCACTTTGGGAGGCTGAGACAGGCAGATCACCTGAGGTCAAGAGTTCGAGACCAGCCTGACCAACATGGAGAAACCCCATCTCTACTAAAAATACAAAATTAGATAGGCATGGTGGCGCACGCCTGTAATCTCAGCTACTCGGGAGGCTGAGGCAGGAGAATCGCTTGAACCCGGAAGGCGAAGGTTGCAGTGAGCTGAGATCACATCATTGCACTCCAGCCTGGGTTAACAAGAGCAAAACTCCATCGCCCCCACCAAAAAAAAAAAAAAAAAAAAAATGACCATTAGGCTATGTGTATAAGTTGTATATGAAACACAAATGAATTTCATGTTTAGGCTTGGACCCCATCCCCAAGATAATTCATTATGCATATGCAAATATTCCAAAATCCATGAAAATCCAAAAATTGAAACACTTCTGGTCCAGAGCATTTTGGGTTAGGGATAGTCAGCCTGTATAAAATTGCCAGGGTTCTCCCAGAGCCTTGGCAGGGGCCAGGTAAGTGAAGAATCCTGAAGCTATAAGCTGTATTAGCTCCAGAGTAAACCTTTACTGTATTTGACCAACATTTGTTGACATTTTGCCATATGCCAAAACTCCTCCTAACCCTGCAGGTTTCAGTTCAGATGTCACCTCTTCCAGGAAGCCCTCCCTCCATAGATGGGTCAGGGGCTCCCTTTGCACCCACTGCCCTAACCCACTCTGACCTACCTTAATCACCCTGAGCTGTCACTGTCTGTGTGTGGTATGTGTGTTTGGGGTGGTGGGGAGCAGAGAGTGAGGTTTGTATGTGACTGTCTGCTTCTGGAGGCTAGGGCCTGGTCCAGTTCATCTCTGTGTCTCAGGGCCTGACATCAGGTACCTGACTAGTCACCAGACACTAATGCGGGGCCTAGCACTTTACAATTTCCCTCTGAGGTTATTATTATAACAATGGCTGACACACATCACAGGCTTTTTACATGCTACACATGATGTTCAGTGTATAACATGGATTATCTTATTTAATTTTCACTTTACCACCTCTCTGAGCCTCAGTTTCCTCATCAGTAAAATGGAAATAATATTGCCGACTTCCAAGGTTGCTCCGAGTATTAAGAATTCATATATAAGCTGAGCATGGTGGCTCACACCTGTAATCCCAGCACTTTAGGAGGCCAAAGCAGGTGGATTGCATGAGCCCAGGAGTTTGAGACCAGCCTGGGCAACATGGTGAGACCCTGTCTCTACAAAAAAAAAAAAAAAAAAAAAGGCCAGGCCAGTTGTGGTGGCTCATGCCTGTAATCCCAGCACTTTGGGAGGCTGAGGTGGGCGGATCACCTGAGGTCAGGAGTTCGAGACCAGCCTGACCAACACAGAGAAACCCTGTCTCCACTAAAAATACAAAATTAGCCAGGTGTGGTGGTGCATGCCTATAATTCCAGCTACATGGGAGGCTAAGGCAGAAGAATCGCTTGAACCCGGGAGGCGGAGGTTGCGGTGAACCAAGATCGCACTATTGCACGCCAGCCTGGGAAACAAGAGTGAAACTCCATCTAAAACAAAAAAAAGCCCGGCATGGGGTACGTAGTCCCAGCTACTCCAGAGTCTGAGGCAGGAGGATCAATGGAGCCCAGGAGGTTGAGGCTGCAGTGGGCCATGATGGTGCCACCGCACTCCAGCCTGGGTAACAGAGTGAGACCCTGTCTCAAAAAAAAAAAAAGAAAGAAAATAGCAGAGTGCTATATAAATGACCTAGTGATGGTTGTGGTGGACCACTAGACACTACTTTCCTCCCCATTTCACAGATGAAAAATGAGCTCAGTAAGGGAAGCAGAAGAGCCGCCTTTAGAGCTGGAACTCTCCCCACACCATCACAGCGAACAGTGATGCTAGAGCCAGTCACCTGGTGAGTCAGCGCATCAGAGTGGCCCACCCCTCAGGAGGGCCCCACCCAGGCCGTTCCTGGCCCCCAGGAGCTCTGGCCCAGCCCCAGCACAGGGGAGTCTGTGAGTCACCATCATCATTTCTGCCTCCCCAACTCAAGTGACCTTACTTGGATCACCTGTGTGTCCCCACCTTGAGGTGACAGCTGGGCCCTGGCGATGGGACAGCATCCTGAGTCCTGGATGCCTTCCTCCTGTCAGGAGACCTGTTTCCTGGTGCGTTACATCTGGGAGATGCCAGGCCTGCTTTCCTCCCTCATTTCCTCCCCAGCGTGCAAGAACAAATCACCAGTGTCACCACACCTCTCAATGGCCCTGAGAACTTCATGGACTGCTTTCACCTGTGCCATTGTCAACTTAAGAAGGCCCTTAATATGGCCGGGCGCGGTGGCTCATGCCTGTAATCCCAGCACTTTGGGAGGCTGAGGCGGGCAGATCACTTGAGATCAAGAGTTCAAGAACAGCCTGGCCAACGTGGTGAAACCCCACCTCTACTAAAAATACAAAAAAAAAAAAAAAAAATAGCTGGAGGTGATGGTGGACACCTGTAATCCCAGCTACTCAGGAGGCTGAGGCAGGAGAATCACTTGAACCCGGGAGGTGGAGCTTGCAGTGAGCCGAGATCACACCATTGCACTCCAGACTGGGCGACAGAGAGAAACTCTTGTCTCACAAAAAAAAAAAAAAAAAAGAGCCCTTAATAAATACCTATTAAGTGAGCCCTTAGAATGCCCTAGAAAGTTTGTAATAGCATTACCTCCCATCCTACAGATGAGAAAATAGAGGCTTGGACCAACATCTAGCCGTAGCTCGAACCCAGGTCTTGATTCCTTATTCTCTAGGGAAAGGGGGAAGAAGAGAAGAAAGGAGGGGTGTTTTAAGTGGGAGAGGTCATAGAAATGGGGGATGCAAGCAGTGACACATGATGCCATTGTTGTAGAAAGAGCTTAAGCTGTGAAGTCAGTTCTGCCTCTACCTCTCAGAACCTCAGTTTTCCCATCTATAAACCTGGGATAATAATCCCAAACTCTCAGGGATGCTGTGCAGATTACTGAGCATTATTTGGGTGACTCCTTCCCCCTTCTCAGCACCCCTCCCAGCCCCTTCCCCCAGGCCTTTCCCTGGCATGAAGCGCCCCCTCCCCAACACCTGCAGTCTCTGCCAGCCCAGATACCCCCTCTTCAGAGTCTAGAACCCTTCCTCTCTCACTGAACTGGTGACTGTAAAGCAGGTTTCCTTAAAGCGAGTGAGCCCCACCCTAACAGGTTACAGGTTTGGGCTCATTAATAATTCACAAGTGAACAGGCCTGTCAACAAAGGGCCTTTGGAGGGCTGTGACAGTGACAGATCTTAAATATTCTCTGGCAAGGGCCCCTAAGGAAGGATCTATTCCTGCTCCTTGGGCAGGCATGGACTCTGCCCCCCGCTAGCTCTGTGACCTTTGGCAAGTCACTGCCCCACTGTGGGGCAGTTTCCTCTTCCCACCAGATATAAAGGGGAGAGAAATTTGGGCCAAGAACTCATGGGCCCTCCCTGCTCTGAGGGTCTCTGTTCTAGGATCTGGGCTCTTCTACCTAAGTCTGGTCTCTAGGAGCTGCTGAAGGTAGGTCTAAAGAAGGAGCCTGGGTTAGCACAAGGGACCAAGAACAGCTCTAACTGAAAAAAGGGGTCAGAGCTCTAATGAGGGGTTTCCAGCATTGATGGCAACCTTTCAGGGGTCAGAACTTGGGATGCAAAGACAGGAAGATCTGGATGGACTCCTGGCCCCACTATGTCCTAGCTGGGCAGTCCCAAGCAATTCATCCGATTAGAGAATAGTTCAGAGAGCAGGTTTGAAAGCCAGGGCTTGCACCTGACACCCTGGGCCAGTAACTTCATTTCTGAAACGGGGATGATGATGGCACCAACCTCATTAGGTTGTTGCAAGGATTAAATGAGCTACATATCTTCAGGGCAGATGAGCTACCTGACACACTGCTGGTGACAATAGAAATTGGCTCCATCTGCCTGTAATCCCAGCACTTTGAGAGGCCAAGGCGGGAGAATTGCTTGAGGCCAGAAGTTGGAGACCAGCTTCAGCAACATAGTGAAACCCCCGTCTCTACAAAAAATAAAAACTTAGCTGGGCATGGTGGCACACAACCATAGTCTGCTACCGTCTATTATCCACACAGCACCAGGCCCATTTGACACTTAGGCCAGATCACATCACAACTCTGCTCAAAGCCCTGCAAAGGCTCCGCATGTTCCTCAGTGCAAAAACTAGTCTGTCTATGGCTCATGAGGCCCTGCACAACCTGTATGCTCCCATCATCTCCCGACATCATTTCCCTTTATTCCCTCTCTTATTTCAGCCACACCAGCCTCCTTGCTCACCTCCAAATATGCCAGGCACATTCCCACCTCAGGCCCTTTGGACTTGCTATTCCGTCTGCCTGGAATGCTCTTCTCACACGATTCACTACTTCACCTTCTTCGGGTCTCAGCTCAAATATCACCTTCTCCGTGAGGCCTTCCCTGACTATTCTGTTTAATTTTTTTTTTTTTTTTTTTTGAGATGGAGTCTCACTCTGTCACCCAGGCTGGAATGAGTGGCACAGTCTTCGGCCCACTGCAACCTCAGCCTCCCGGGTTCAAGTGGTTCTCCTGCCTCAGCCTCCCAAGTAGCTGAGACTACAGGTGCCCGCCACCATGCCCAGCTAATTTTTGTATTTTTAGTAGAGACTGGATTTCACCATGTTGGCCAGGCTGGTCTTGAACTCCTGACCTCAGATGATCTGCCCGCCTCAGCCTCCCAAAGTGCTGAGATTACAGGCGTGAGCCACCGTGCCCAGCCCCTTTCTATTTAAAATTGAACCCCTGCCTCCATCCTCCCAGTTCTTCTGCCCTGCATTATTTTTCCACAGCGCTTGTTGTCAAGTGACATCTTTTTATTTTGCTTATTCATTTATTCTCCCTCTCCCTATTAAACTAAGTTCCACAGGTAGGGCTTTTGTTTGTTTTGAGTGGGGTCTCACTATATCGCCCAGGCTGGTCTTGAACTCCTGGGCTCAAGTGATCCTCCTGAGTAGCTGAGACTCTAGGGACATGTGGCTGTGCCCAGCTTCAGGAATTTGTTTTTGCATTATTGTTTTGTTCTCTAATGTGCCTAGAACAGTGCCTGGCTCAATAAAAAGCCTTGCTGCCTAAACGAATTTACTTGAATATGGAAAAATATGAAAAAAGCAGAACACAAAATTATCCACCGAATATTAAAAAGAAAACCCTGACATCTATGCATTTTAGGAAGCATGAAGAGATACTGAAGCCATTTCTGGGGGAGGCAGTACAATATACTGCTGGGAATAGGATATTTGACTCTGAATTTTGGCTTCTTCACTATAATCCAGGGCAACACTCTTCACCTCTTTGCGCCTAAGTTTCCTCCTCTATTAAAGTGGAGAAAGCAAGGCTTCCCTGGTCAGAGTTGTGTGGATTACAGATGATGCTGCATGTCACATGCTGGCTGTTGGGGCACAGTCAAAGGCAGGTATCTTGCATTACAGATCACAGAGAAAGGGAAAGAGAACATTCTAGAGGCAGCAGGCAAGTTCAGAAGGTGTTCAGGGGAGAGGAGCTGGGGCTTGGAGGGAGCAGTGGCAAGCAAAGGAGGAGAGAAGGGGAGAAGGGTGACCACCCGAGTGCAGCGCTGTCGAGTGGAGATTTATCTTTTTTTTTTTTTTTTTTTTTTTGAGACAGAGTCTTACTCTGTTGTCCAAGCTGAGCGTAGTGGTACGATCTTGGCTCACTGCAACCTCCACCTCCCAGTTTCAAGTGATTCTCCCGCCTCAGCCTCCCAAGTAGCTGGGATTACAGGCACGCACCACCAAGCCCGGCTAATTTTTGTATTTTTAGTAGAGACAAGGTTTCACCATGTTGTCCAGGCTGGTCTTGAACTCCTGACCTCAAGTGATCCACCCGCCTTGGCCTCCCAAACTGCTGGGATTACAGGTGTGAGCCACTACACCCAGCCTGATTTATCCTCCTTTGAGTGGCCTGTCCTGTGCTCAGGGTCAGCCCTTTGGTACACCTTTCAATCACCCAGATGTAAAGCAATTGCCCACATACTCATTTACTTGGCAGTTTCTTTCAACCTGAGATTTAGCTACTGTATGTATCTGAGGAAGGACGTATCTTAGCTTGAAATGAATTGAGCGGCTGCAGTGCTTCTTCTTGCAGGGTGTGGGGGCTGGTCAGAGCAGACCCTGTAAGAGGGAAGCTAAGGAGTAACACCTGAGGCTGCAGGAGGCAAAACAAATTTCACTCCCATGGGAAGAAAAGGAGCCAAAAGGAACGGGGTGTCTTAGCCCAGTTCCACGTGGATGGGGTCTCTGATGTCCCACCTAGTCCTAATATAATTGTCCTTTTGGCAGGGTGTCATGGGGCAAAGGACCAGCCATTTATAGGGCAGGGGAAGGATTTTACTTGAAAGTGGTAGATTTCCGCACTGCTGATCACCTGGGAAAGACTGATTTATTATTTTATAGCCGATCTTAGCATAAGAAAGGAAGCCTTGGGAATCTTGGGCTAAGAGAAAAATTCCTCTTTTTTCCTGGGAAAGAAGATGTTGGAAGACACATTGGGCCCTCCCAGAAGTGGATGTTCTACAGGAAGGCTCCTTCCAGGATGGCTGAGGGGAGAGGGCCATAACATCATAAAATCATCTGTCCCTCACTCCCTTCTTCCTAAGGTGTTTTTAAAAGTTATAGCCTGGCCAGGCATGGTGGCTCATGCCTATAATCCCAGCACTTTGGGAGGCTGAGGTGGGAGGATCACTTGAGGCCAGGAGTTCAAGACCAGACTGGGCAACATGGTGAAACCCCATCTCTACCAAAATAAATTAATAAATAAATAGAGATGTTATAGCCTGGCCTCAGCCGAGCTGCTGGGGAATTAAGGGAAGGGGCTGTCCCACCCATGGCATGGGGTGATTGCTATAGAGTGACAGTTTGCATCCCCCAACATTCATATGTGGAAATCCTTATGTCTAAGGTGATGGTATTAGGAGGTGGGCCCTTTGGGAGGTGATTAGGCCATGGGTGCAGAGCGGGATTGGTGCCCTTATAAAAGAAGTTCAAGAGAGACTCCTCGCCCCTTCCTCCATGTGAAGACACAGCAAGAAGGCACCATCTATAAGCCAGAAAGCAGGTCCTCATCAGATACTCAATCTGCCTTGATCTTGGACTTCCCATCCTCCCGAACTGTGAGAAATACATTTCTGTTGTTTATAAGCTACCCAGTTTATGCTATTTCATTATAGCAACCTGAATGGGAATGAATTAAGAAAGGTGATCTAGCAAAGTGCCTCAGCGACCATTCCCCCACCAGGCCAGGGTGGTGGTGGCAGTCAGGGAGAGAAGGGCTGTGTTTGGCAAGGCCACAACTCAGGAGAGTGGTGGGTGGCACAGGCCCCGAGAGGGTCCATGAGGGACCTTTCAGTTTTCAGATCTCAGAGCATGAAAAACAGCAGGGGGACTCAGAGGAATGGGCAGGGTGCTCCAAATATATCGTAATTTGGGTATGTCATGAAACTACAGCTTTAAGGCCTGCTCAGTGGTCACATTTGCTAAATGCTGCCCTCCTCCCTCATCACCGCCCCCTTTCTCCTCCCCTCCTCTCCAGCCCATTGGCTGAGTGAGGAGCCTCTTCTTACTTGACCCCACCTCTCAGGGAACAGTGATTGGTTGAAGGAAGCACCAGTCAGAGTAGTCTCCTGAGCTTTTTCAGACTAAAGCTGGTGAAGCCCTTCCTCTTATAATCATCACTCGCGCTGGTATAGCAGCATGCCGTGCAGTGCTTTACATAAACTAACTCATCCGATCCTCACAACAATCCTGGGAGGTGAGTCCTAACATTACCCCCATTTTACAGATGAGGAAACTGAGGCACGAGAAGCTAAACAGCCTGTCCAAAGTCATACTGCTAGAAAGTCTCAGAATCAGGCTTCAAAACCAGCCTAAGGCCGGGTGCGGTAGCTCTTGCCTATAATCCCAACACTTTGGGAGGCCGAGGCTGATGGATCACTTGAGGTCAGGAGTTTGAGACCAGCCTGGCCAACATGGTGAAACCCCCTCTCTACTAAAAATACAAAATTAGCTGGGCGTGGTGGCGCATGACTATAATCCCAGCTACTCGGGAGGCTGAGGCAGGAGAACCTGGAAGGTGGAGGTTGCAGTGAGCCGAGATCGCACCATTGCATTCCAGCCTGGGCGACAAGAGTGAAACTCTGTCTCACAAAAAATAAACCGCCCCCCCACCCCCCGCCCACACACACACCAAAAAAACAAAACCAGCTTATGTGGCCCCAGAGTACTTCTCACTGCTTTGATTTACCATCCCAGGACTTGAGCTTGGAAGCTGCTGACAGCCATGCCTTGTACTGAGTGGAGAAGCAGGTGAGCATTAGGAGAGAATGGAGCTGGCCACAGACAGAAACTGCTTTGAGAGGCAGAAATTTTCAGGAAAGGACAAAGCAACTCAACCTCAGATCACAGATTTGAAGATGTTACAGGAAATGTGGTGTGCTGGCAGAACTGAAGTTGCAACCCAAATCTATTTCTCAATGACCCCCAAAAGGACCTAAATGTTCCAAGTTTGAACCCCTCCATAACTGATAGTGGGACAAAGGTTGCTTGAATGTCTTTCAAGTTCTTGTCACCAGGGATTGAGGATCTGAGGGACCACAATGTGCCTCTCACACTAGAGCCCTCTCCTACCCCTTACAATCACCCTCAGCAACAGGGGGCAGAGTAAAGTCCTGGGATTAAAAGCTTCAACACACACACACACAAAAAAAACCTTGAAATTTTAAATCACAAGTCTGGGAATCACAAATGCTTCAACTTGCAGGATCTGAGAATCACAGAGGTCAAAACTCAGCACTGGCCTCAAGTCCAAATTCATTCCCAAGGAAGAGACCTCAAAGCCACCCAAGGATTCCTGCCACCAAATTAGAAACTCCCAACCTAGAAGCATCTGAGAGCTCCTCCAGCTCAGGCTGAAACCAAGAGCAGGAATTCTGACTACAGCAGTCCTAGCAGGCCTCCAGCCTCCTTGGCTGGGCCTCTCCATTCTTGAGGAGGCCCCTCCCTCCCACAGCAGATCTGCCACTCAATTACTCTCTCTAAAGCAATCTGCCCATCTGCACATCCCCTTTTATTTTTGGTGCTGTCTCCTACCACAAGTGGGGGCTATGGTATGGCTAAGAAGGGCCTGATTTGTAGGCTGAGTAGGGTGCGGTCCCCATTGTAAGATGCATGGGCGTTAGGAACAGTCCCCTTTCCTTTTCCCAGCAGTTCCCAGCTACCCAATCCTGGTGCCTGGAATCCCACCATTGACTCTGAAGCCTTTCAGAATCCCCTCTGCTCAATGCAAATACCCTGGAAGGAAGATTACCTCATAACAGTACCGAGAAAGAAGTGAACACCGAATATGCCCCAGTGACTGTTAGGTCCTTTACAAATGACTTCAATAGATCTTTCCACAGCTCAGAGAGTAGCTATTATTTTACAGCTGAGGAAACTGAGGCTCACACAGATCAAACAATGAATCAATGTCAAAGAGCCAGTAAGTAAGCGGCAGAGCAGGGGTTGAGCACCCCTCCACATCCCCATCCCCCCTGCCAAACTCTTTGCCCTTGGCTATGCTGTGGGACACAGGGTGGTGTGGTGGGCGAGGGGTGAGGGTGGAGCGGTCACAGGGCCTGAGCTGGGAGAATGGAGACCCAGGTTTGAGCCTTGGGTGTGAGACCTTGTGTGGTCAACTGGGAGTAAAGAATTCTCTGGGTATTTGTGCCCAGCAAGTTCCAGCTGAAGCACAAAGGCGCATGTGTGCAGGCTCACAATGCACTTCCTCACACAGGCCCACTGGGGGATGCAGAGGCCTCTGCTTGACCAGAGGCCACCCCTACACCTTCTCCTCAGCCTGTCCATTCACTGCTTCTCATTTCTTCCTTCTTAGCGTCTACCTCCCATTCCCTCCATTCTCCTAACCCATACCCCAGCATCTCTCTCCTGGACCACCACGCCAGCCTCCCCTCTGCTCTCCCTGCACACTGAGAGGTGTGTAACATACATACACGGGAGACCCCGAAGGCTCCCTGGTGCCCACAGGACGATGCACAACTGGATTCTCCCAGGCAGGGAAGGTCCTGGAAGGCAAGAAAGCCATGTGGCCAAGTGATCTCGTGCTCCTCAGAAATCATCCCATGTCCTCATCAAAACTGAAATGCACTCTGAGCCCCATTATGTGCTGTGCTCTGGGAACATGGGGACAAATGAGCCCTGTCTCCTTTCCATAAGTAGTGGAGAAACAGAAAAGGAGGAGGTGACAGTGATCCAGCATTGAAATCGTCTGTCCACAAAAATCCTTTCTCCGTAGGACAGCGTGGTCAGCTTTAAATAAGTAAATGCCCTGCTAAAGCCCTCCAGTGGCTTCCCACCACACAGTGAAACCTAAATTCCTGGTCCTGTTTGTTCTGGCCAGCCTGCTTCCTGGGTCTCAGTGATCTTCCATCACTCTCCCTCCTTTCTTCTCAGACACAGCTCAGGGTTTGATGTGAGCTATCCTGCCTGCAATGCTTCAGCACTGCCAATTTTACTGGGCATAACATTGCCTTATTGTATGCCTCGCCCAGCATCTATTTCTGATGTTTACTTGTCTACTTGTTTATGTCTCTCTTACTAGAACCTGGTTGCCAAGAGCAGGACCTGTATATCTGAAGTAACACCATACCTGCAGTGCCTAGTACAGTGCTGGCCCAGCACACAAGTGCTCAACAATGTGTGCTGAAAGGCTGAATGAGAGTCACCAAAGGGTGGTGGAGAGCCATGGAAGGGTTTTATTTTCTTTAATGTTTTTTCCTTTATTTATATAGAGATAGGGTCTTGCTATGTGGCCCAGGCTGCTCTCAAACTCCTGGGCTCAAGCGATCCTCCCGCTGGGATTACAGGCATGAGCCACCACGCCTAGCCTATGGAAGGGTGTTAAAGCAGAAAATGGCTTGGTCTGGTTTGTGCTTTAGAAAGGATGTGTGGAAAGGGAGAGACAGGAGGAGCTGGGGAAGGGGGCCTGATGCAATAGTCCAATGAGAATAAACAGCTTTGAGAGAAGTTGGGAGGTAAAATCAACAGGACTTGTAGACGGGGGTGGGAGAAAGGTAGGGAGGTGTCAGGGATGACTCCCAGGTTTCGGGCTTGGGCAACTGGGTGGATGACCATTCACTGACACGGGGACACCGGAGGAGGAACAAGTTTGGGGCTTGCCAAGTTTGAGGTGTTCATAGGACAGTCAGATGGAGGTGTTGGGAGGACAGTTGGATTGCCCTTTCCCTGGCACAGCAGGGTGAACTTTAAAGATGTAAATATGAAGGGAAGGGCTGAACCTCAGAAGATGTAAATATGCGGGGAGGGCTGAACCTCAGAAGAGAGGTCAGGGCTGTGGTCCCCTCTCACAGGAACACAACTGGGGCGCACTAACTTATCCCGGAGGTAGGGTCAGCTAGGGAGGTGGCTGACACACCCTGGAGGGCTCGCCTTGGAGGAGCTGGGGTGCACATAATTCACCCTGGACTGGGACTGGAACCCAGGACTTCCCCCACCTGCTCCTCGGATGTGGACAACCCCTCAAGCACACAGAGCCCTGGCTTCATCTGTCCGGGCACACAGCGTGCCCACACTTGGCTCATGCAGACCTGAGGAGAACCAGGTGAGAGGATGGAGGGTTGAGCGCAGACGCCGCTGCCCAAACCTGACCGCCAGCCCCACCTGAGGTCCTTCTCACCGAGCTGACTTCGCAGATAGCCCGCGTCTTGCGACACTGAGCGGCGCTCAGGTGGGACCGCGTCTACCCTCCCCAGTTCCCGCCCTGCTGGGGGCGAGGACAGAGAGCAGGGGGCGCGCGGCGCTGCCCCTCTCGGGCCTCCGGCCGACCCCCACGCCCAGCAGCCACACACCCTTTCCCCAGCTGTGCCTCTCAGCTGTTTCCCCGACGTCGGCTGGGTCCTCCGGCGGCCCCTTGGTCCCGTCCGCGCCTTCCGCCGAGTCCCCACCCCTGCCCGGTACCTGCGGTCGCTTTTCCCGGAGGCCGCCTCCTTCCAGGTGGTCAGAAAGGCCATGGGCGCGGGCCGGGCTCGGACGGGGCCGCGGGCGGCCCCTCGCGGCGGCGGCGGCGGCCGTGGAGGCTACAGTGGCAGCACCTGGACGGGGCGGGCAGGGCGGGACCCGTGGCTCCTCCCCGCCCTGGACCTGCGCCTCCCTGCCCCAAAGTGGAAGGGCTTAAGTGTCCCTAGAGCGGGCCTGAGGTCCCTGGGCAAGCCCACTCCCACCCAGAACCAGAAAGGACCCCAAACACTCTGAAACCCCTCATTGGGCACCGGGAGAAACGGAGCTCCAGGCTTTGTCCAAGGTCACAAGGGGGCCAGCGGCCGGTCCCACTCGGTCCAGAGCCCAGCCTCCAAACTGACGGGCCACACGATGGCCTTACCAGGGTCCCTGCGGGACATAGCAGCACCACCAACCCTGTTCCCTCCTCCCTACATACAGAGCCAGCTTTGCTAGGGCCTCGCCGGAATGGGGTCAGAAGCTCGGGACCGAGTCAAATGCTGGGCACAGAGCACCAGCAGCAGGGGGCTGATGGGCAGGGAAGTGGAGAGCAGCTGTCTGGGCCTGAGGGTGGAGGCTGCAGGCCAGGCCAGGCCCTGGAGTGACCCACTTCACCGACTTATGAGTCCAGTACCCCGTGGCAGGTCGGGGGACAGAGGAGAATGAGCCACCGCCCCATCTCCAGTGTAAACTTTCTTTGAAGCCCCACATTTCATCTTAGGCTGCGTACATTTTTGGTTTTTATTTTAAATTACCACCACCAAGCAGAATCAGCTCTGGAGCAAGGGGATCCCCTGGCGTGCAGTCCAGGGGCTTTTATGGGAGGCCCAACTAAGGACAAGGAGCAGGGGAGCACCGTGAGGAGGCATTTGAGAAGGCCTGCTCCAGCTCCAGTGTGAAGAATGGATTCAGGGACCCCTGGAGATTTAGCTCATCAGAGAAGGTGGGGGTTGAACACAGGGCAGGGGCAGGGTGGCTAAGGCCCATTTTTGTTTCCTTTTGGGCTGGGTCTGTATCCTAGGTACTTGTGCAATACAAATTTCGTGTCCAATAAGTGGTGACTGGTTTTCACATGTCAGGTGTTCTCTCATGTGTCAAGCCCTGAGCCAGGCAGTTTACACCAATTCTTATTTATCTGCATCTTGTTACATACTCACTCATCCCCATTTTACAGTTGATGAAACAGGTTCAGAGGGGTGAACGACCTTTCCTGAAACCAAGTTGTGAAGTCAGGTCTTACACCCAGGCTTCTCTGCCCAATCTGGTGCTTTCCTCCCACCCTGCCTATGGACCATGGGTGGGCTGAGCACGGAGTGGGAGGCCCTGGGCAAAGCTGCCCAGAGGGCAGAGGCTCTAAGGACCATCTGGGCAATTTCTCTCACTCTTCCCTGGTAGGCAGCAGAGAACATATGACCTTTCACTCATATCATGGTCTTTGCAGATCAACAAGGGCCGGGGAATACTGCTTATCTGATCACAAAGCTAGAGCTTCTAAATCTGGAAAATCCAGTTACAGTATGCCCAGGGACCCAAACCCCTTAGTCCAGAGCCTTGTCCAGCTTGGCCAGCACTGAGCACTTAGCCAACTTTCTCCTGGGTTCGCAGGCAAGAAGAGCCACAGGACCTCAGAAGCCTGACCTTCTATGGGCCCAGAGCCCAGTTTACTAAGAGGATTAATCTCACCGAGCCTGTCAGCCCACAGCCAGCACCACTTCCTCCAGGAAGCCATCCAGGATCTCCCCATCAGAGCGGTCTCTCCGTTTTCAGAGGATACATTTTGTCTCTCTCACAGCATTTAGCATTACATATTTTAAAATCCTTGTATAAGTTATTTACAATGGTATTTCAGATTTCTCTCTGAAGGTACAGATAGTATCTCATGTGTCTTCTACAGAGCTCAGCACTATTGCTATACATAGTAGGTACTCAATGGTGAGTAAATAAAGAAGGAGCTAATACCTATCAAGCTTCTACCCAATGGCAGGCACTATGCAGAGAGCCTTTACGTATCTACCTCTAATCTAGACAACTGTTTTAAGAATATTTGGGTCAGAAGTTTAGAAATGTTCCTAAGATCAAATCAGGAGCTGGGATTCAATCCCGGGGTTCTTAAACTTCAAGGCTTGTTTCTTATTCTTCTTCCTCATCTGTTTAGAATTATGTTACTTGGGCACTATTTTAAACTCTTCACATGTGCCAACTCATTTAGTCCTCAAAATAATCCTAACATGTATGTTCTTTTACAATCCCAATTTTATAGTTGAAAAAGTGAGGCAGGTAGGAATTAATTTGCTCAAGATCACACAAACTAGTTAAGTGGCAGAGCTAGGACTCAACACACACAGCCCGACTTGAGAATGTATATCTTAACCCTAGCCCTAGTTTTCCTGCCACGCAAGCTATTAGATGCACAAAGCATTTACAAGCCACTTTTTCAAGCTTATTTTGAATCATGTAATAAACCCAAGGTAGAATCAGTTTTATTCTTCCCATCCTCCCTTCCACTGGAGCCACACTGCTTAGGTTAAAATCTTGGCCCCACCACTAGGTATCTGCACAACCAGGCAAGTTACTCAACCTCTTTGTGTCATTTTCTTATCAGTAAAATGAGGATAACAGCACCTATTACAAGGGTTGTTGTAAGGATTTAATGCAAGCAAAACAGAACAGTGCTGGACACATAGTGTGTGTTACCTGCACCTCGTATAGTGATAGTTTTATCCAGAATCAGAGGGCAATGAAGTGTTCTATATAAATGAACTTTCAAGACAACTGAAGTTTATCCCCTTTATTCAGATTCACATTTTTCGAAAATGTATTGTTACCTCTTCTGTCTTTTTAAACATGGGCATGGCAGCTTTTAGTGTGTATCTGCCATGTAACAGAAACCATGACTTTGTATCCATCATCTTTTTTTTTCAGAGTGTCTCGCTCTGTTGCCCAGTCTGGAGTGCAGTGGTGTGATCACAGCTCACTGCAGCCTCGAACTCCTGGCTTCAAGTGATCCTCCCACCCCAGTCTCCTGAGGAGCTAGGACTTCAGGTGCATGCCACCATGCCTGGCTAATTTTTAATTTTTTTTTTTTTTGGTAGAGACAAAGTGTTGCTATGTTGTCGAGACTGGTCTGGAACTCCTGGAATCAAGCAATCCTCCTGCCTGGGCCTCCCAAAATTCTGGGATTACAGGCATGAGCCACCACACCCAACCTGTATCTATCATTTTTAATCCTGGCAACAACCCTGCAAGGGAACTGTTATCCCTGAGGACCAGAGAGGTTAACAGATTTACCCAAAAACACACAGCTAGGAAATGGTAAGACCAGAAGTTAGGCCCATGTTTATAAAACTCCAAGGTCTGGATTCCCTCTACAAGGCCAGGAACCTGCTCAGGAAGCTGAGATGCATCAGGGTTTTCTTTTGCTTGTGTATGGTTAAGGCAGCATGCTACAAGGGAGCAAGGGTGGAGGGCTCCTAACCTGCTTCTATGTATTCTAGGTCCAGAGTTTTGATTCAATTAAGTACAGCCTCTACCCCATCCAGGTCTCTATATGTCACAGTGCCTAGAAGGATCTTCAACTCATGTAGAGGCCCACAATCTGGAGGAGAACAAATCAGGGTTGTCTCAGTCCTGAAAAGTCCAATCATCATTAAAAGGCCCATAGGCTGAGCAAGTAGTTCAGTTCAGTCTCTCCTGTGTGTCTTATAGAGCCTTGGAGGGGTGTGGGGTCTCCACTGTGCTCGATGAGGGCCTAGGTTGCTGAGTCTTGCACACCTGCTCTTAAGGGCAGTCCTTAGAGCATAAGTAGCCGTAGAGAGCAAAAGGCAGTCTAGTGTGGTAGAAGAGTAAGTCTCACAGCTGAGGCACCTGGGCTGGAACCTGGCTTGTCCAGCTGTGAACCTTTCCTAGGTTGGGGTTTCTTGGCCAAATCGCTTCCATCTCTCTATACCTCATATTTTCTATTTAAGAGTCATGAAGAATAAATTATACATATATTAAGGACCTTAGTGCCAGGCTCAGAGAAGGTCCCCAGTAAGTGTCAGCTTTTTCCCATTTATTTTCCTTCCCACAAACTAACTCAATCCTTTCAAGTTCTGACTCCAGAGGAAACAGAAAGGAGAGGCTGTAACTAAGCCCTTAGGT
The DNA here is from genome assembly GCF_000001405.40 of Homo sapiens. Taxonomy (NCBI): domain Eukaryota; kingdom Metazoa; phylum Chordata; class Mammalia; order Primates; family Hominidae; genus Homo; species Homo sapiens. The sequence goes on from NC_000001.11 coordinate 51,349,170, forward strand.
CTCAGGCAGCTGCACACATTCTATACACTTAGTGCAGTGGGGAAGGAAAAATGGGTGGGGTCTTTCTGTAGATTCCCCCCCTCCCATGAGATAATCTTTTATATCATTCACCTGGATACATAACATTAGGACTTACATTCCTCTGGAGAGATTTTAAAAAATAAATGGCTTTCAAACATTTTATTTTGTGACCCAGTACATATTCAATAATGAATTCTATTTAATGATTTTAAAAATGATGCTCATTAACATACTGAAAAATTTACATATAATGGATCAAAGCAAAGATATGCAAAGTCACCCCAAAGAGGCATTATAGTTACCCGACCAGCCAAACCAGACTCTAACCTGATTAAAGATATTAATCTGAAAAACGTGTCCATGAGAGGGGCCCAGGCATCCCTGGCTGCAAAGATCAAGCGGCGCCTCAGAGAGAGGAGGTATCCAACCACCAGCAAGGGAGGAGTCATGTTCAACCAATTGTGGGCACTCCAAGCCCTGTGACAACTTTATTTTTACTGGAAAGTGACATTCTGGTCTATCAGTCCCTGTGAAATTTCTTAATAGAGATCTGTCTCTGTTTTATTGATGAAAATCAGGTTTCTAAACTTGAAGGTCAGATGTTGGACCAGGCTTAATTCACTCAAGTAATGAATGCTACTTAAATGAGGCCTCCTAGGAGACTGCTGGCCTTTTCCAGTGAACACAGCCCTAACATCAAATGATGCGGCCTTGTGAGAGCTGTGTTTTTAACAAAAAATTCCAACTGTCACCATGTGTGTTTTTTAGTAATGCTAGTAAGGAACAGAATACTATCTTCTGGGGACACCTCCTCTGGGAAGACTTCCCCAATCCTCTCAGCTAGAACTATTCTCTCCCTGCTCTGGGCATCCCAGCACTCCTACAGTATCCTCAGTACGCAATGCTGTGAAATTATGTAAGTAGATGCCTATCTTTCCTACTATACCACTAATGGCAAGGCCCTCATATGAGTCTTCTCTGTCCCTGGCCCACGCAACAGTTCTTAGCAAAGGTCAATAGAATAATGACTTTTTCACTGTGCATTTTCAAAACTAAGACAATAGAGACCTTTCTGGAAGTAAAAGGTACATCATAGATCCATGCATACAAGAAAAAAAGTATCTTAATGTATTTTTTTTTTCCAGCAGAACAGAGTAATTGAACACGGATTTTCAAGTCAGAATGCCTGGGTTTTTTGGGGTTTTTGAGACGGAGTTTCGCTCTTTTGCCCAGGCTGGAGTGAAGTGGCGTGATCTCGGCTCACTGCAACCTCCACCCCACCCACCCCCCACACCTGGTTCAAGCGATTCTCCTGCCTCAGCCTCCCAAGTAGCTGGGATTACAGGCGCTCGCCACCATGCCCAGTTAATTTTTTTTGTATTTTTAGTAGAGACGGAGTTTCGCCACATTGGCTAGGCTGGTCTGGAACTCCTGACCTCAGGTGATCCACCCGCCTTGGCCTCCCAAAGTGCTAGAATTACAGGCATGAGCCACCATGCTCAGCCGACTGCCTGGACCTGGGTTTGAATCCTAGCTCTGGTGCTTTTTAGCTCAGTGATCTTGGACAAGTTATTTAACCTCTTGTACTTCTCAGCCTTCTCATCTGTAAACTGGGAATAACAGTACCTAACTTAAAAGCATGTTATGGAGGTTAAATGAATCAGTATATATAAAGTACTTTAAATAGTACTGGGCACTAAGTACTATATAAGTGCTAACTTGCAATTATTATTTTTATTTTTGGAGAGAGAGTCTCACTGTCACCCAGGTTTGGAGTGCAGTGGCGTGGTCTTGGCTCACTGCAGCCTCCATCTCCAGGGTTCAAGTGATTCTCCTGCCTCAGCCTCCCGAGTGTAGCTGGGACTACAGGCATGCACCAACATGCCCAGCTAATTTTTGTATTTTTAGTAGAGCCGGGGTTTCACCACGTTGGCCAGGCTGGTCTCAAACTCCTGGCCTCAAGTGATCTGCCCACCTCGGCCTCCCAAAGTCCTGGGATTACAGGCATGAGCCACCATGCCCAGCCTGCAATTATTATTTTCAAAAAGTGTCTATCCATAAGAAAGATTAGATGTTACCAAGAAGCAGAATCCACAGGTCAAGTATAGAATGACAAGGTACTCTGCAACAGCACTGCAGAGTAAATGAATGGACTTAATAAAACTTGCTAACAAAAGAGACTTAGTTATCATCTACTCTAGTGGTTCTCAAAGTGAGGCCCCTGAGTCAACATCACCATCACCTGGGAACCTGTTAGAAATGTAAATTTGGGGGTCCAACTCTACAACCTACTGAATCAGAAATTCTGGGGCTAGAGTACAGCAATCTGTAGTTTGATACGCCCTCCAGGTGATCCTATTGCTTGCTACATTTTGTGTACTCCTTTCCCCTTACCACCTACATCTAATCAGACCTCAAGGCCTGTTAATTCTCCTAAATCTTTCTCAAATTGGTCCCCTTCTCTCAGTCCCAGCCACAACCACATTTTCAGTTCTTACCATCTCACCTGCATGACTGCAACAATCTTCCACCTGCTCTCCCTGCCTTACCTGATTTTCTTCTAAGGCAATTCCCCAAATCACCACCAATGAGATATTTCTTATAAACACAAACACCTCAGTCTTTTGCTCACAAACCTACACTCTAGTCACACTGAGCTACTTCAAACTCTTCACAACTTACTTTGCCTCCCTTTTTATGTACTCTTGCCAGAGCCTTGTCAGTACTGATAAATTAGTTTTCATTTTTTCTAGCCTTTTGGTTTTAAATCTTGTATTTAAAACAAGGTTGGGCTGAGCCATAATCCCAGCACTTTGGGTGGTTGAGGAGGGAGTATCACTTGAGTTCAAGGCCAGCCTGGGCAACACAGTGAGACCTCTATTTCTACTAAATAACTAACTAGGTCCAGTGGCATGCACTTATAGTCCTAGCTACTTGGGTGGCTGAGGCGGGAGGATCCCTTGAGCTCAGGAGTTCACAGTTACAGTGAGCTATGACTGTGCCACTGCACTCTAGCCTGGGCAACAGAATGTGACTCTGTCTCTACAAAAAAAGAAAAACTAAAAGCAAGGCTGGCTACTCCCCCCATATACTTATCACTTATGATAACACTAATAATCGTAAGTGCTTTCATGTGTCAGAAACTGTTCTAAACCCTCATACGAGTTAAATACAAGAATGAATGGGAAAATGTTTTATAAGATGCCATGTATAATATAGGTTTATTCCATTAATCCTCAAGAACAGTGATTACATGGATTATTTCTTTTGTGACACTGCTCCTCTGACTACTCATCATTAACAGGAATACAGAGTAGTGGTTAAAACTCTGGAGCCCATCTCCTAGGTTCAAATTCCAGCTCTACCACTTACTAGCTGCATAACTGTGGCCTAGTTTGGGTTCCTCCTCTGTAAAATGGAGAAGATAATAGTACCTGTACCTTTCATGGTTACTATTGTGAGGATTAAATAAATTAATAGTAAAGCATTTAGGATCATGCCTGGAGCTTAATAAATGTTATTTATTGTTATTTATGATGTCCTGTTCCTACCATTTCCTATAAGTAAATTTTTTTTTCACACAAAATAAAACAAAGCATGGTAAACTGAGAGTATCACACTTAGGACTAGACAGACCAGGTTCAGTTCCTGGCTCATCTTCTCATCAGCTGGATGATTTGAAGCACATTATTTTAAGGTTTTTGAGACTCAGTTTCTCCATTTCTAAAACAGGGGCTAACAACAATATCTACTACTTAGAGGTATTGTGAAGATTAAACAAGAAACAAGAAGACACACATAAAATGCCTAGTAGAGTGCTTCATATATAATGTACATTCAACAACCAACAGCTCTTTTCACTATTAGTAATACTGTGGTTGAATTTGCTTATTTAAAATAAATAATAAAAAGTTATCAAAGCTAAATCCTTTACAACAATCCTGTGAGTTAAGTACTGTGATGTACATTACATGAGGAAAATGAGGTTCAGGGAGGCGAAATAACTTTCTCAAAATCATCTTTACATTACATCCTCAAAAATGGCAGAAAGAGATTCAGTCCCAGTACTGTATGAGTTTTTCAGAACACAGTGCCTTCCAAAAGTCCATGTCACAATTTTTTTTTTTTTGATACAGAGTCTTACTCTGTTGCCCAGGCTGGGGTGCAGTGGCACAGTCTTGGCTCACTGCAACCTCCACCTCCCAAGCTCAAGCAATTCTCCTGCCTCAGCCTCCCAAGTAGCTGGGAATACAGGCACCCACCACCATGCCCGGCTAATTTTTGTATTTTTTATTAGACAGGGGTTTCACCATGTTGGCCAGGTTGGTCTTGAACTCCTGACCTCAGGAGATCCACCCACCTTGAACTCCCAAAGTGCTGGGATTACAAGCACAATGTTTTTTTTTTTTGAGACAGGGTCTTGCTCTGTTGCCTAGGTTGTAGTACAGTGGCACAATCCCAGCTTCTTGCAGCCTCACTGGGCTCAACCGATCCTCCCACCTCAGCCCCCAGTAGCTGGGACTACAGACACGCACCACCGCACCTGGCTAATTTTTGTATTTTTTTTGTAGAGACGGGGTCTCACCATGTTGCCCCAGGCTGGTCTCAAACTCCTGGGCTCAAGGGATCCTCCCACCTCAGCCTCCCAAAGTGCTGGGATTACAGGCATGAGCCACTGTGCCCAGTGACAAATTCTTTTTTCTTTTTGAGACGGAGTCTCACTCTGTCACCCAGGCTGGAGTCCAGTAGTGTGATCTCGGCTCACTGCAACCTCTGCCTCCTGGGTTCAAGCAATTCTCCTGTTTCAGCCTCCCGAGTAGCTGGGACTACAGGAGCGAGCCACTATGCCTGCTAATTTTTTCGTATTTTTAGTAGAGACGGGGTTTCACCATGTTCACCAGGTTGTTCTCGAACTCCTGACCTCAGGTGATCTGCCCACCTTGGCCTCCCAAAGTGCTGGGATTACAGGCGCGAGCCACTGTGTCCTGCCTACAAATTCTTATGTTTTAGGCACTGTCTTTATGCATATACATTTCATTTCTTTCATAAAAGCACGACATGATAACCAAAAATAATAGTTTACATTTATTATTTATTCTATACCAGGTGCTGTCCCAAACCCTTTACATATATTAATCTGTGCTGATTGTATGTACCTACTCCTCCTTGGACACAGCATGGACATAATCAGAGAACCATGCAAAACTCAATTGCAAATTGGATATATGGATGGGATTCTTTATTATTACTTAAAGTTTACTGTTCTCATAATTACAGGCTACAACTTAGAGGTTTGAAACTTTAAGAGAAAATTCTATAAAGAGAGCTCAAATAAACATGAATCAGTATGTAGAAGACATTTAAAACTTTGTAAGTAGTGCCACTTAGCTCTGGGCAATACTTATCTGTCCTTTTCAAGCACAGGCCCTGGAGCCAGAGTCAACAACATAAAATACCACAAACGACTCTAAGACATTCATCCTACACAAGCGAGCACATATACATATATATTTATATAATATATACATACTTTAATATTATGTTGGTCCACGGGGTATACACATTTTAACAAAAGATAAAAATCTATGTAATCCAGTTAAACATACATAAGATTAGGATACATTTATTACATTGAAAGTTGGTGTTTATAAGTTATAGATATTTAATATTTGAGTTTAATTGAAAATTTTTTTGAAGCATTTAAACATTTGCTTATTTTCCCAGTGCAAAAGAAAGTTGTTCAAGTCAACTTACCTTTATCCTAAGGAGTAAGAGGAAGAAAATAAACAAAAATACCACCTATCACAACTCCCAGTCAAATTTTGCAGAAAATCCTTAGGTCACTGGATTCGTTTATCAAAATTAAGCCTTGTGATTATGATTCAGCCCTTGCTTCATATGTATGACTTTTATGCAGAAATGTTTCTATTTACAAAGGTAGAAAAAAGTTAGCAGTGCAAGATAGTGGTTTAAAGTTTGTTTTAAACTGTAGGAGTCTAATTGTGTAATGGAAAGAAAACAAAACAAGCACCATTTCAAGAAGAAATGAATTGGATATTTTGGAATTTATTTATAGGCTAGGCAATAAGTTACTCAGATTAACACAGATCAATACCACCTTGACTTGTTGACCCAGAGAATTCTAATTAGATTTTAGGTGCATTTTTCTTTATCTTGGTATTTAATACATCATCTAAGTCAGTAACCGTGTTAAACAAAATTAAAATGACAAGTTACAGCTTACTTCACAGTCTATTTCAAATTCAGCTTGTCCACTAGGTCAGTTTTACAGGAGATGGTCTTTTAACATGAAGAGGTCTGATAATCTGGCAGGTCTCTTCTCTCCCAATTAAAAAAACAAGAGTTTTTTTGCTAGCTTGACAATTTTATAGGTGAAAAACATGAAGTGAGTAAATAAACTAAACCACAAAGATGGACAAAAAGCAATATGATATAAAACACATCACTTTTTCTATTTGTATTCAGTGAAAGTTTTTACATTTCAAGTAAATGAGCCTTCATTAAAAAAAAAAAAACAAATATATATGAAAAATTAAAGTACCTTCCAGTTCTAGCTTGCTGAAGTTTCTTCTGCAAAAGTACAAAAATTAACCCACTAAGAACTAAACAGGACAGGGCCACGGCAAAGGCAGAATGGCTGCCATGTTAAGACTTTTGCTTGCCTTATACTGATGGGTATATTTTAGGTGATAAATTTTCTCCACTATCTATCACTTAAAATGAACATTTTCTTACAAACTTTATTTGTAAGAAACTGATTTTTATTAATTAGCAAACACACTGAGAGGTATCTGTTGATCTAAAATTCTCTAAATCCAGATAAATCTTTTTAAAAATTTATTTCACACATGAGGCTTTAATATTTTTAGTTAGGAAAAGATCGAATCTGAGGCTATAATGGTTCAACCTACAGCATCCCTTTTCCATAGTGGAGTAAATCTGTGCAAAATATTTTTCCTTATCTCTGAAAAACAAATTAAGTAGAGGAAATTTAAAAATGCACTTTAGCCAATTTGCACCAATCATAAAAGAAATAAGATATTCTTTCCCTTACCCTCACTCAACCATTCCAATCAGGGGAGAATACTGCAAACTTTAAGAACCTCACTGGCTATCATCAGAATAACTACAGAACAGGGTAGTGCAGGGTGAAACTATTTCTCTATATTCCAGAAGGCAGAAGCTTGGGTGCTCTAGCTTTACAAGTAAAATAGCACAGGCAGGCAAAAGCTCACAGTAAATGTATACCAGAACAGGGGCCTAAGTGAAGGTGAATTTGTCTGACTGGGTTACGGCTTTTATAAGAAAAAAAAAAAAAGACGAATCTGTAATGAAGAAAAAAAAAAAATCCTAAAATTTTGTCACATTTACAGGAATCTCAAACCTTTTGTATTCCCATGCTCACAGGTAGTTTTGATACACATTGTAAATAGTTTCAGTATTCAGGAAGAAGAATACTATATTGTTGCCAAAGAACAAGAGAATTCTTCATGCTTCTGATATCTCAGATTTGCTGAGTGCAATAGCCAGTTCTAAGTCTTCTTGTTCCTGCTGATTTAGTCGGGCAAGCCTCTGCTCTTCCTCTCTCTCACTTTCCCTCTTGGCCCATTCGATCATATCTTCTTCAGAGGGATACTGCCATTTAAAAGATCGATGAACAAACGAATAAATAAATGAGTAAAGCAAGTAAAAAGAAGGAAAAATAGTTTTTACAAAAGGACACCTGAAGGACTCTGGAAATAGTCTGGTTACTTGTTAATTCTTTTTTTTTTCCCCCTGAAAACATGTTTAATATTAACCAGTTATTAAGCTATAGTTTAATTTAAAAAATTAATTCAATCTATAGATAGAAAGTCTATAAAACTAAATGTTAAAAATGCCACTAGGCTAGATGTGGTGGCTCATGCCTGTAATCCCAGCACTTTGGAGGCTGAGGCAGGTGGATCACCTGAGGTCAGGAGTTCGAGACCAGCTTGGCCAACATGGCAAAACTCGCTCTCAACTAAAAATACAAAAATTAGCTGGGCATGGTGGTGGTGCCTGTAATCCCAGCTACTTGGGAGGGTGAGGCACATGAATCACTTGAACCCAGGAGGCAGAGGTTGCAGTGAGCCGAAAATGCACCCCTGCACTCCAGCCTGGGTGACAAAGTGAGATTCCATCTGAAAAAAAAAAAAAAAATATATATATATATATATATATATATATATATATATTTTTTTTTTTTAAATGTGATATATATATATATATATCTCACTAAAAAAAGTAGAAATGCTTATAGTAGATTAGAAGATTTAAAAACAGGACAGGGCTAGCCTTTTTGACCTAATGTAATGTAAAATATTTACCACTTCAACTTTACTGAGACCCTCACACAACAAATCATTTTTAATTTAATCCCACTGGTAGTTTCCTAACCCTTAATGTGTAAAAAAGCTAAGAAGCAAGAAAAAAAAAAAAAAGCTGATTTTGCTATACATCATATTAAAGTATTGGGTATACTAAGCAAGATGTGATTTAAACCTAATCTTTTTTTTTTTTTTTTGAGACAGAGTTTTCGCTCTTGTTGCCCAGGCTGGGTGCTATGGAGCAATCTTGGCTCACCACAACCTCCGCCTCCCGGGTTCAAGCGATTCTCTTGCCTCAGCCTCCCGAGTAGCTGGAATTACAAGCATGCACCACCACGCCCGGCTAATCCTGTATTTTTAGTAGAGATAGGGTTTCTTCATGTTGGTTAGGCTGATCTCGAACTCCTGACCTCAGGTGATCCGCCCATCTCGGCCTCCCAAGAACCTAATCATATTTTATAAAAAGCATTTTGAGCCAGGCATGGTGGCTGACATCTGTAATCCTAGTTCTGTGGGTGTGGGCCAATTGCTTGAGCTCAGAAGTTCAAGAAGTTCATCTTGGCAACATGGCAAAACTCTGTTTTTACAAAAAAAATTAGCCAGGTGTGGTGGTGCACATCTGTAGTTCCAGCTACCTGGGAGGATCACCTGAGCCTGGGAAGTTGAGGCTGCAGTGAGCTGTGATCATACCACCGCTCTCCAGCCAGATCGACGGAGTGAGCCAAAAAAAATAAAAATAAAACAAAAAGCATTATGAAGATTTCTCCAGGCTTTGGGAACTTTTAGACCAGTCTAAATAAAATCTTAACACTCATAATTATTATGTTGGGGAAATATTTTTATCTACCCCAAACAGCAACCTTGGCAAATACTAAATTAAAAATTCTAATTGGTTTCAAGTCTTGTTACATAGAAAATCCTTCATGAAAGGATGAAATAAAATACACTGTCAGGCTTTTGAAATGGTAGTTTTTTTCCCTAGGGAATTAAGCAAAACTTTGAAACGTGTAATGCTTAACCACATCTTTCACAATGAAAAAAGAAGATGTTCTTATTATAAGCTGTTTTTTATTATACTATATTGAGATTTTGGAGCAAAATGCCTCAGCTGTTGTTCAAGACTCCTTCCAACCAGATTTGTTTTTTTTTGTTTTTTTTTTTTTTTTTGAGGCGGAGTCTCGCTCTGTAACTCAGCTTGAGGACAGTGGCACTATATCAGCTCCCGCAACCTCTGCCTCTGGGGCTTAAGTGATCCTCCCACCTCAGCCTCCCTAGCTGGGATTACAGGCATGCGCCACCATGCCTGGCTAATTTTTGTATTTTTAGTAGAGACGGGGTTTCACCATGTTGGCCAGGCTGGTCTCACACTCCTGACCTCAAGTGATCCGCCCGCTTCGGCCTTCCAAAGTGCTGGGATTACAGGTGTGAGCCACCCCGTCTGGCCCCAACAAGAGTTTGACTTGCTAAAACCATACTTAAGATATTAAATGCCACAAACTACCAGAGGGTTATTTTACACTAAGAGAATTATAACCTTCTAAAAAGGCCAATTTTTGATTCTCTGCTTGAAACAAATCAAATTCCATCTAATGAAAGTTAAGTCGGGCTGGATGCGGTGGCTCACCCCTGTAATCCCATCACTTTGGGAGGCCAAGGCATGCACATTGCAAGATCAAGGGATCGAGACCATCCCGGCCAACATGGTGAAACCCCGTCTCTACTAAAAACACAAAAATTGGCTAGGTGTGGTGGTGCGTGCCTGTAGTCCCAGCTACTTGGGAGGCTGAGGCAGGAGAATTGCTTGAACCTGGGAGGTGGAGGTTGCAGTGAGCTGAGATTACGCCACTGCACTCCAGCCTGGCGACAGAGCAAGACTCTGTCTTTAAAAAAAAAAAAAAAAAAAAGGAAAGTTAAGTAAGGCTGGGCGCGATGGCTCACACCTGTAATCCCAACACTTTGAGAGGCTGAGGCCGGTGGATCGCCTGAGATCAGGAGTACAAGACCAGCCTGACCAACATGGAGAAACCCCGTCTCTACTAAAAATACAAAATTAGCCAGGTGTGGTGGGTATGCCTGCAATCCCAGCTACTCGGGAGGCTGAGGCAGGAGAATTGCTTGAACCTGGGAGGTGAAGGTTGTGGTGAGCCAAGATCGCGCCTCCAGCCTGGGCAATAAGAGCAAAACTCATCTCAAAAAAAAAAAAAAATCAGTATAATTCTGGCACTCCATTTTTACAATATTCAAAATATTGATTCCTATTTTGCTCCTTCATAGTCAAGAGAAGCCACCAGAACTTAGAGTACAGATTCAAAAGCTGGGAGCTCAGTCGTCTTAGTTGCATGCAGATTCTTTTTTTTTTTGGAGACAGGGTCTGGCTCTGTCACCCAGGCTGAAGTACAGTGGCATGATCACAGCTCACTGCAACCTCCACCACCTCAGCCCCCCAAGTAGCTGGGACTACAGGTGCTTAAAGCACTTTGGCCTCTTAAAATGCTGAGATTACAGGCGTGAGCCACCACGCCCGGCCTGCATGCAGATTCTTGACTACCTCCCTTCTAACTAGAAACAGCTGCAGGAATAAAGCAATTGGTTGAATGGCCCAATGCTACACTGAGGAGGGAAATATTAGGCAGAGTTACCTGGCCACTAGATCTATTTCCAAAATCATCTCAAGGGCATAAGGTGATAAATAGAAGAAAATCTCTGTTTTATAGAACAGGCAATGATAACGAAGGTTATTTTGCCTGAAAAAACTGTGAAACTGAAAATTTGTTACCCGGTCTAAGAATTTTATTAAAAAATAACTTTTTTTACTGAATAATGATGGAATATATGACATTGCTTTATGTCTCTCTAGACTGATACCTCCATGGTTGGTTGCCCCATTTCTGTGATTTTATAGGCCCTGCTTATGCTGTTATCATGGCACCCTTCCACTGTTTCTAACGATCTTCCTATTTTAGACATCTCTGAAAGAACGCAGAGTAAACATGAGAAGTTAGTGAATTAGGGCCCTCCAAATAAAGATTGTTTAAATCCTGACAACCATTTATTTATTTATTTCATAAAACTGGCATTTACATTTTTAAAAAGCTACTGTGTAAGTTTAATAGTTTTACTTTCTATTCAAAGAATCTCTGGCTCTATCCTCTCATATAATATTTGCTGACTGGTCTCCAGAAATCATTAAAACTTTATACACAAACACACATACACAGCTGCAAATACACAAACTTATTACTGGCATTATTCATCTAGTGGGCAGAGAGCAATGACTCTGTAATTGTTCATTAAATCACCATCACCCATAACCATCCACAAAATAATAACTGTTAGGATTTTACTTACATTACCAAGACTAAGAGAAAGATTTACAAAACAACTTGTGTATATGACAAGAACTGGGACTACTAAAATCATCTGTGCGATGGAACAACCGTAGAACTGTCAAAACAGGATCAAACAGAGGTTTTGCTTGGGGGAAGAATGAAAGATCATTTTTAGTATCTTGGTAAATTTAGTTAAAATGATGCAAACTTGGCAGACTCCAAAATAATCTCTGAAAACTCTTTAAAGATTTCTCCCCCAAACAGCTCATTCACAGTACTTACAGCACTGAAGTTGGCAAAATTGCTTGGATCAGCCTCTTTATTGGTAGTGGTAGTAGCAGAAGTGAATGGATCACAAAATATTTCAGGATCTTTTTCTTTGGGGCTATCGTTGCCTGGGAAAGGCTGAAATGGATCATTCAGTTTAAAGGGATCAGGAGAATCCAATTTGTTGATGGATCTTTTCCCTGGATCAAAATCATTACAATTAATTCAACCAGTAAATACAGCAAATACAAGCACACAAGAACATGTACACAGATAGCATTAAAGTACTGTGGGTAGAGGATGATTGAGTACCTAAAACACATTCTGAATATTGTCTTAAATAGCTACACCAACAATTTGTCCTCAAATTCTTCACACATGATCTCTCAAATAGATTCCAGCTATGTGCAGCTAATGAAACAAATAGCAAAGTAAGGATGGGCCAGGAATCATATTTTTGTCCAAAGACTGAATCCCACCATCCCCTAGCCACACCCAAGCAGCATGTTCCCAAAAGGAGAGACGAATGGATTAAACAGAAGGAGAATAATAAAGAATAAAGACAGAAATGGCCTGCCTCTGCTGTTACAGCCCTCAGCCTGATAACAGTTATCCACTAGTGGCAGTAAGAGCAAATGACCTCTGAAAACTGGGAAAATTCTTCTGATTTTTCTCTAGTTCTACATACAATACCTAAGAGCATAAAATTTTTAAATTACCGTAGTAAAATGCTGCCAATTTTTTGTTATTTACTGTATTTCAAAATGAAGAAAAAATGTTTTGAAGCCCAGGGCCTAAATCTTTGCGGTTGCTGATCAAATAATCTCTGACCAAACAATAGTATTCTGTCCTATTAGTCACTCACTAATTCATTACCATTTTCAAACAAGTTCTCTAAGTCTTACTTAAACTTAGTACTTCTTGAAGAAAAGATAATAAAAATAGGGGTCAAAATATCTCCAAATATATTTTTTTCCTAAAATGCATAAGCTGGTAATAGCAATCATAACAACAGATTCCATCACTGTAGCTGCTTAGAAAAGATGCTCATATCTCAATGGATTCTTCCAATAATCCTGTGAAAGTAGGCAAAATTAGAATTACTGCCAACATTTAATAGCCAAGGGTCAGATATATGAAATTATACACTTAAGATCATAGTTAGTCAGGGAACATCCAGAAACAGAACCCAGATATTTAGACTCCCAGTTTAGTGCTCTTTCCAACAAACCAGTCTTTTCCTTAATCTTTTTACAATGATATACAATTACTTGGATGAAGATTCTTAGATTGAGCAAAAACACTAGCATATTATTTTACTTAAGATTTAAAAAAACAACCTCACTATTGGCATCATGCAAGTTGTAAAAACTTAAATGTGCAAATTAACCATTATTTATTTTTAAATATATTCTGATAACCTCACTTCTAGAAATATATGACATAAGCTACCTTTCCTTAGAAGGAATCACTTAACTCATTTACCTGATTTTTCAACAGATTATCGGATATTTACAATTGTACATGCAATTCTTTCAGTCAAAGAAAAAAAACCTATCTGCTCAAGACCATGGAAAGGTTATGATGAAAAGGCAATATTAATCTGTAACTACTGAGACTGAAAATTTCCCAAGGAATGAGGTATGATTTAAAAAAAAATATACTAAGATGTGTCTTCTCACATAATACCCCAACAGCACTACAACTACTCAAGGAATTATCCTTTTAGCCACTTATTATGACCTAAAAACAAAACAAACTTTCCTTTGTATAGTGCTAAACATATACATACACACACATACTAATTATACATAGAAACAAACAAAAATAAGAAACAAATCACTATTAGAAAAGAGTCTTGGCCAGGTGCAGTGGCTCACACCTGTAATCCCAGCACTTTGGGAGGCCGAGGTGGACAGATCACTTGAGGTCAGGAGGTAGAGACCAGCGTGGCCAACATGGTGAAACCCCATCTCTGCTAAAAATACAAAAATTAGCCAGGCATGGTGGATCATGCCTATAATCCCAACTACTCGGGAGGCTGAGGCAGGAGAATCCCTTGAATCCGGGAGGCTGAGGTTACAGTGAGCTGAGATCATGCCACTGTACTCCAGCCTGGGCAACAGAGCGAGATTCCATCTCAAAAAAAAAAAAAAAAAAGAGGAATATTTTAAGTTAGCTAAAATACCATTTTCCTTCAAGAAAACCAATACTTTGTTTCAAATCACTGTATTGCTGAATTCTGGATACTAAAGAGGCCATATATTCTCACATTAAAGGATTTAAGGAAGACTTTATACTTTACAGGAAAAGGACTTTGAAACAATCTTCTCTTAAATAAATTATAATTAAAACACCAAAGTACAGGAAACTGCTATTCAAATGGATAATCAATGAGTTTCCAAAAGGCAAAAAGATTTTCTTGACACTTTCCCTTTTCCATTGATTGCCTCTCTGAAATGATTAAGTTAAAAAAAAGAAAAGAAAAAAGGTCTTAGCAGAAAGACAGCTCATGAAATTTATACATGCTGACTTCTTAAGTGCATGTCTGTAATTCAGCAGTTAGGTCAGAATGAATGACAGCAGCAGGCTTCTGACATATGTTTGACTTGTTTCACTTAAAGCCATTTATATAAGTAAGTTCCGCACAATACTTTTCAGAAAGAGAAAAGCCATGCAGTTGACTGAAGAAAAGTACCAACTCTCATACCAGGTGGTAGAGGGCAGGGTCTTGTTGGAGTTCCGATCTTTGGTGGCAGTGCTGGGGGTTCATCTTCACTTTTGACCGATGTTTCCTCAAATACATTTTTTGTAATCACTACGTTGCTGACAGAGCTCGATGTGGCTGAACGAAAAGGATCTTCATTGTTGACCTTTGTTTAAAAAGAAATGGTTATACATGGCTATACCAAGCAAATTGTGGTAGTCATGTAGCATTCAGAATAATGATTTCAGTATTATACAGTTTTATTTATTTTAATTCTGAGAACACTGAAATTTTAACCTTTGCATTCAGGGTCCAATGGGAGAAATTTCTGAAAAAAAAGTTATTCTATATGAGGAGTGATTCTAACATCATTACTTATTAAGATTAACAGATCAAACCAAAAACAGCTCAATCTAGATTAAAGGTTTGTCAAGCTTCAGGAAATATTCAATGCAAAAACCACCTGAGGCCCATTTTAAAGGGACTGTATGCCTTTCCGCAAACGAATATCTGATCTAAATGGTAATCAAAGGAAAAAAAATGGATTCCATACGTCCTAATGAACTTAAATATAAGATTTAATACTAATGCAAGGAAAATGGCATCTTGACAAACTATAAGGACAACTTGAAAGTCAATTTTTTTTTTTTTTAATTTAAAAGGCAGGAGTCTCCCAAGCTGGAGAGCAGTGGCACAATCATAGCTCACTGCAGCCTTGAACCCCTGGGCTCTAGGGATCCTCCTGCCTCAGCCTCTCGAATAGCTAGGACTACAGGTGTGTACCACCACGCCTAGTTATTTTTTTAATTTTTATTTTGTAGAGATGGAGTTTCGTTATGTTGCCCAGGCTGGTCTCGAACTCCTGGGCTCAAGCAATCCTCCCATCTCAGCCTCCCAAGATGCTGGGATTACAGGCTTGAGTTACTGCACCCAGCCTGAAAGTCAATTTTTTGAAGCAAACTGATCCCATAAAAGGATAATTTTTTTTTTTGAGACAAGGTCTCACTCTAAGGTTGGAGTACAGTGGCGCAATCTAGGCTCACTGCAACCTCTGCCTCTTGGGCTCATGTGATCCTCCCGCCTCAGCCTCCTGAGCAGCTGGGATTACAGGTGCGTGCCGGCATGCCTGACCAATTTTTTGTGTTTTTTGGTCAAGACGAGGTTTCACCACATTGCCCAGGCTGGTCTTGAACTCCTGAGCTCAGACAATCCACCTGCCTTGGCCTCTCAAAGTGCTGGGATAACAGGCATGAGCCACCGCGCCTGGCTGGAATGATAAATCTTAATGTGTGTCTGAAGACCCTTTCAAATATGTAACAAAAGATTAACTTTTCTATAATGAATCAGACTTCACAATTTTACATTTATTTAGGTAATGCTCAACATTGACATTTCAGGCTGGACGTAATTGCATATTGTGGGGGGCTAGAGAGTGGACTGTATTAAATAGCATCCCTCATCTCTATCCACTAGATGTAAGTAGCATCTCCTATTCAATTGTGAAAACCAAAAAGGTCTCTAGACATTGCCAAATGTTCCTCTGGTGGCAAAATAACCCTCAGTTGAGAACCAAGGAACCAACAATCTAATCCTCCTTTTCTCTTAGCCCGAATCAATATCACAGCCACAGTGGAAAGTAAATAGTGGACATTTAGTACTGGACTTTGTGTATTAATTACCTTAATACTGGCCCTAACAACCTCAGAACATAAAATCAAGTAACCAATACAGAGAGGACGAAATAAAAACCCAGATTTTACACCTATTGACCCAGACAGTCAACAGGGGGAAAATGTGGTTCAATTGGGAGAAACATGTTTAAAAAGACAGAAGACTAAATATGAAGTTGTTAAGCAAACATGCCAACAGAAAATTATAATTACCTCTACCATCAATACAGTCTAGTTATATAAAGAAATATGTCTACTTTAACTATATGTTATCTTTCATTTCTATCTGAAATCAACATTTGCTGTGATTTACTGAAATCAAGTTGCAACTTTGTGAGAGGACTATATAATTGAAAGGAGGATTGTTCTTTTGGTGGAAACACAGTATGTTTTCCCTTCCCATTAATTACTGTAGATTACCTTTGACAATGTGCTGAAGTCAGCAAATCCACCTCCAAATGATTCATTCCCAAAAACAGAAGCAAAGGGGTCTGTGGCTAAAATGAATAAAGAAAATAAATGAAACAGGACAGTAAGACATTTTTTTTTTTTGAGACAGAGTCTCACTCTGTCCACCCAGCCTCAAGAGCAGTGGTACGATCATGGCTCACTGCAGCCTCAATCTCCCAGGCTCAAGTGATCCTCCCACCTCAGCCTCCTGAGTAGCTGGGACTACGGGTATGCACCACCATGCCTGACTAATTTTTGTGTTTTTTGTAGATATGGGGTTTTGCCATGTTGTCCAGGCTGATCCCAAACTCCTGGGTTCAAGTGATCCTCCTGCCTCAGCCTCCCAGAGTGCTGGAATTATAGGCATGAGCCACCAAACCCAGCCAAGGCATCAAATTTCATGTTTTCTTTTGGTTAATCACATTCAGACAGTTGAAAACATACAATCTCAAATATTAATTCCTGAATTTATGACTGACACCCACAAAGACAGACTGTATACTGATAACCCCACAAGATGTATTCCTTTGTATAAATCAACTGATGAATGATTTATAGGTAAAGTAATAGCAAATAAAGTAATGATTTATAGGTAAAGTACAGGTAAAGGAACAACTAGATGATTTATAGGTAAGGCTTTGGAACACATTTCAAATAATATAGCTCCTATGAACTTAAATCACTGCTAATAAAGACATCAAGAAGTACAAAAAGCTAATATAATACCATTAATGCCACATTTCACACTCATCCTTCAAGACATATTTCAAATGCTACCTCATCAACAAACCCTGGAGTAACTTAGGTGTCACTACTTCCCACAGCAAGAAGTAATTTTTTCCTTCTCTGCGGCACTAATGGCATTCTAGTTTGTACCATGGTTACCTGTAATTGATCACCTTTATTAGATGGTAAGGTCCTTGAAAACAGGCAATAAGTCCTATCCAAAGAATGGACAGTCAACAAACATTTGTTGACCATATACCAAGTCTGAGAAAATAAAATGATACAAATTTCTACCCTTGAAAAAGTTCAGTCTAGTAAAAGATATGTAAACAAATAATAATAAAACAGTCTTATATGGGTTATGAAAGAGGTATGAAAAACCTGTAGTGGGAGTCACTAACTGCCTGGGTGAATCTGGAAACGGAGCAAAGAAGCCATTACATTCAGCTTTTAAATAAAATCTTTTGAGTAAGAAATGGAGTTTACCAAATAGATAAACACGGGGAAGAGAAACCAGGCTACCAGGCAGAAGGAACAGTAACTACAAAAGTATATTTAACAGGCCAGGTGCAGTGGCTCACGCCTGTAATCCCAGCACTTTGGGAAACATAGGTGGGCAGATCACTTGAGGCCAGGATTTCGAGACCAGCCTGGCCAACACAGCGAAACCCTCTCTCTACTAAAAATACAAAAAATTAGCTGGGCGTGGTGGTGCGTGCCTGTAATATCAGCTGCTTGGGAAGCTGAGGCAGGAGAATCGCTTGAACCCAGGAGGCGGAGGTTGCAGTGAGCTGAGATCATGACACTGCACTCCAGCCTGGGCGACAGAGCGTGTCTGTCTCCAACAAACAAACAAACAAAGTATATTTAATCAATGTTTCACAGGCCTGAGAAGTTGTTTCTTCCATCACATTGCACTTACCAAGCAGACTAACATTTTCAGCTGGAATGAATGATCTACTCTGAGATAGGCTTCACCCATTCAGGTGTAAGGGCTACCAATAACGTCAAAGAATGTTTATAGGAATTGCTGCCTGATACAGGAAGATGGAAAGAAACAAAGCAAACAGTTGGAAAGGAAGGCAAGGAAAGAACTGCAAAAGAGAAGGCAAGACAAAGAGGCACAGAAAAGTTCTCCTCAGGCCGGGCACAGTGGCTCACGCCTGTAATCCCGGCACTTTGGGAGGCCGAGGCGGGCAGATCACCTGAGGTCAGGAGTTTGAGACCAGCCTGGCCAACACGGTGAAACCCCGTCTCTACTAAAAATACAAAAATTAGACGGGCATGGTGGCACACGCCTGTAATCTCAGCTACTCAGGAGGCTGAGGCAGGAGAATCACTTGAACCTGGAAGGTGGAGGCTGCAGTAAGCTGAGATTGCGCCACTGCACTCCAGCCTGGGCGACAGAGCAAGACTCCGTCTCAAAAAAAATAAAATAAAATAAAAAAAGAAAAGTTATCCTCAAACTATTCTTAGAACAAAAGTGTGCCTATCCGCCCATTTGAATGTGTAAAGTGTGCCCGTATCTCTAAAAATGAGTATATCTTGGACATAAAAAGAGGAGCAAAGAAGATACACTATTTTTGTTTGCTTTGTCACCAAACATTTCGTCACCAAGACAGCTGTAGGCAAAGGGTAGCCCAAGTGGGAAAAAGGAGTGGGTGGAAGCATAGAGAAATCAGGCCTTTAGGGATATACCAGCAACTCTGATCCTGAAGAGGATGTTGGAAGTTCAGGGTTATAGGAAATCCTATAATTCTAGCTATAAAAGATGGCCTTTTCATTGATACATATCTGCTGAATCCTCAGCCTAGGGCCCAGCCTCATCATAGGTAGTTTCAGGGTTTCCCTTCTTTCTGTCCTTTTCCTGTTATTTTTCTTTTTTGTTTCTTTTTTTTTTTTTTTGGAGATGGAGTCTCGCCTGTGTCACCCAGGCTGGAGTGCAGTGGCACGATCTCGGCTCACTGCAACCTCTGCCTCCCAGATTCAAGTGATTCTCGTGCCTCAGCCTCCCACGTAGCTGGGAATACAGGTGTGTGCCACCACACCTGGCTAATTCTTTCTTTGTATTTTTAGTAGAGACGGGGTTTCACTATGTTGGCCAGGCTGGTCTCAAACCTCTGACCTCAAGCAATCTGCCGGCCTAAGCCTCCCAAAGTGCTGGGATTATAGGCCACGTGCCCGGCTCCTGTTATTTCTGATGCTGAGGTAGCTAAGGCACAGCCTGAGTGGGGTGAAGATGCTCTCCCTGACTGCTGACAAGGGAAAAAGAGTTGGGCTCATTTCACTTGTGGGACTGAAAATTTGCTTCATGCCTTTTCTCTGTCCTGTCCCACAGCCTTTACAAGTCACAACATGTGTGCAATAGCCTCAGTTAGGTCAGATTTGACTGGAATATTGTGAAGCATATATTGTGAACAAAATTAATTTTAAAAAGGACACTTCTATATGAAGAATATATAGTACCTTACTAAAGAGTTTTTCTACACTTTCCTCATAAATGACCTATTTAGCACTAGTCTAAACACTGCAGAAAGACAAATCTTAGATGAATGACAAATAACTTTCTCAGATACTGATCATGGTTGATTTGAGGCAGAGGCCCGTTCAGAAAGCAGGACTCAATGAGTTCAACTTGTTCAGATCACGCGTAAGATACCTGCTGGGGGGAGTTCCAGAAACACTTTTAGAGAAACCATGCAGGTGACTTTCTTCCTCTTGGTGTACACAGGGGCTATGAGCCAGCAGAACTGGGCTTTAGCTGCACTTATGACCTCATTAGTACCGCCTTTCCCCAAAGAATAAAGGTAATGAATGCTTTGGAAAAATATATAAAAGTATAATTTAAAAATCATCCCTAAATCTCACTATCAGAAATAACCCTTATGAATATTTCAGCATACTTCTTTAACAGCCTTTATTCCTGGTATTTTTTTCTTACATATTTGAGATCATGCTATGCTGATACGGTTTTTTGTGAAGGTGTACATGAAAAAGCTACATTTTAGGTATATCACTTTTTATCCCTTACCCTGATTTAATCACAGTACTCATCAGTATTTGACATATATTTGTTCATTGCCTATCTTTCTTATACAAACTCTATGAAGACAGGAACTTTGTTTTGTTCACAGCTGTATCCTCAAGGCCTAGCACAAGGTCTGGAAACTAGGAGATGCTCATATTTGTTGAAAATATGCAAAGAAAAAAGGGACAGAAACTGTCTATTAAGAATCGTCCAAACAAATATAACATTTCTTAGCATAACCAGATGAATAACAAGGAATAAGGGAAACCAATTTTAAGGCTCACAAATAATTCCCTGAAAAACAGCTATCTACCAGAAATCTTGACATATGCCACATAACAATGTTTGGTCAACAACAGGCTACATATATGATGGTGGCCCAGTAAGATTATAATTGGGCTAAAAAATTCCTATCACCTAATGACTTCATAGCCATCATAATATCCATAGTCCAATGCATTACTCATGTGTTTGTGGTGATGTTGGTGTAAACAAACCTACTGTGTTGCCAGTCGTATCAAAGTATAGCACACACGATTATGTGGAGTACACAATGCAGGCTGAGTATCCCTTATCTGAAATGCTTGGGAGAAGGAGTGTTTTGGATTTCAGATTTTTGCAGATTTTGGAATATTTGCACTGTATATGCTTATAAGTTGAGTACTCCAAATCCAAAAATCCTGAAACCAAAAATGCTCCAATAAGCATTTCCTTGGAGCATCATATCAGTGCTCAAAAAGGTTTAGATTTTCAAATTTTAGATTTTTCAGACCTTGGATGCTCAACCCGTATTTGATAATAATAATAAACAACTATGTTACTGGTTTACATATTTACTATACTATAGTTTTTAATCGTTATTTTATTATTATTTTGTTTGTTAGGCTGTTTTTTTTTTTTTAAAGACAGAGTCTCACTCTGTAGCCCAGGCTGGAGTGCAGTGGCATAACCTCAGCTCACCGAAACCTCCGCCTCTTGGGTTCAAGCAATTCTCCTGCCTCAGCCTCCTGAGTAGCTAAGATTATAGGCACGTACCACCATGCCTGGCTAATTTTTGCACTTTTAGTAGAGATAGGGTTTCGCTGTTGGCCAGGCTGGTCTCGAACTCCTGACCTCAGGTGATCCACCCACCTCAGCCTTCCAAAGTGCTGGGATTACAGGCATAAGCCACCATGCCCACCCTATTTTGGTTTTTTTGAGATGGAATCTTGCTCTGTTGCCCAGGCTGGAGTGCGGTCGTGCGATCTCATCTCACTGCAACTTCCACCTCCCGGGTTAAAGCGATTCTTGTGCCTCAGCCTCCGAGTAGCTTGCATTACAGGTGTATGCCACCACACCCAGCTAATTTTTTTTGTATTTTTTAGTAGAGATTGAGTTTCACCATGTTGGCCAGGCTGGTCTCGAACTCCCAACCTCAATCCACCCACCGTGGCCTCTCAAAGTGCTGGGATTACAGGTGTGAGCCACTGTGCCTGGCCAATCGTTATTTTAGTGTTCACCTTCTACATATACAACAAATAAGTTAATTGAAAAAGAGCCTCAGGCAGGTCCTTCAGGAGATATACCAGAAGAAGGCATTGTTATCGTAAGAGATGACAGCTTCATGTGTTTGACTGCCCCCAAAGACCTTCCAGGGGGACAAGATGTGGAGGTGGAAGACAGTGATATTGATGGTCCTGACCCCGTGCAGGCCTAGGCTCATGTTTGTTTGTGTATTAATTTTTTTTCCTTTTTTCTCTTTTGCATCTTACATTTAAGAAAAAAGTTTAAAAGTTAAAAAAAAAAAGAAAAAAAAAATTTAAAAGTAGGCAAAGTTTAGATATACAGAAAGAAAATATTTTTGTACAGCTGTATAGTGTTTTAAACTAAAGGTTTATTACAAGAGTCAAAAAGTTCAAAAATTTTTTAAAGTTTTAGAAAGTTAAAAAGTTACAGTAAGATAAGGTTAATTTATTATTGAAGAAAAATGTTTTTTATAAATTTAGTGTAGTGCAAGTGTACAGTGTTTATAAAGTTTACAACAATGTACAGTGATGTCTTGGGCCTTCACATTCACTATTACTTGACTCACTGACTCACCCAGAGCAACTTCCAGCCCCGCAAGCTCCGTTCATGGTTAAGTGTCCTATACAGATGTACCATTTCTATTTTCTATACTGAATTTTTACTCTATGTTTAGATACATAAATACTTACCATTGCGTTACAACTGCCTACAGTATTCAGTATAGTATTCAAGGCTGTACAAGTTTGAAGCCTAGGAGCAATAGGCTATATGACG